>NC_000004.12:114224411-114375926 GCF_000001405.40 Homo sapiens | reverse complement strand
GGAGCTCTTTTACCCTCTCGGTTAAATTTATCCCTAGCCATTTCTTGTTTTGTAGCCATTGCTAGTTGCATTGCTGTCTTGATTTCTTTTTCAGATAGCCTGCTGTTGGCATGTAGAAACACTACTGATTTGTGCATTTATAGCAAACTGATTTTCAACATAGGTGCAAAAAACACACATTGGGGAAAGGATGGTCTTCTCAATAAATGATGCTGAGAAAACTGCACATCCATATCTAAAAGAACAAAGCTAGACATATATCTCTCACCACAAAAATCAATTGAAAATTGATTAAAGACTTAAATATAAGACCCAAAACTATAAAACTACTCAAAGAAAACAGGGAAAACACTTCATGACATTGCTTTGGATAAAAGTGCTTAATAAGACCTCAAAATCATAGGGACAGAAACGCAAAAATAGACAAATGGGATTATATCAAAATAAAAGCTCCTACACAGCAAAGGAAATAATCAAAGCGTCAAGAGACAACATGCAGAATGGGAGAAAATATTTACAAAATATGCATCCGACAAGGGCTAATATCCAGAATATATAAGGAACTCAAACAACTCAATAGTGAAAAGCCAAATAATCTGATTTAAAAATGAGCATGAGATACAAATAGACATTTCTCAAAAGAAGTCATACAAGTGGCCAACAGTTATGTAAAAATGCTCAACATCTTTGATTATCAGAGAAATGCAAATCAAAACCACAATGAGCTATTACTTCAACCTAGTTTTAATGGCTACTATGAAAAAAGACAAGAAAATAACAAATGCTGGTGAGGGTGTGGAGAAAGGAGAACTCCTACACAGTGTTGATGGAGGTGTAAAGGAGTATAGCCATTATGGACAACAGTATAAAGGTTCCTCAAAAAATTTAAAATGAAGCTACCATATGATCCAATAATTTTACTACTGGGTATATAGCCAACGGAAATGGAATTAGTATGTCAAAAAGACATCTGCATTTTCATGTTTATTGCACTGCTATTTACAATCCCAAGATATGGAATCAACCTAAGTGTTTCTCAACAGATGAATGTGTTAAATAAATGTGATACACGATGGGATACTATTCAGCCACAAAAATAACAAAATCTTGTCATTTACAAAAACATGGGGGACCTAGAGGACATTATGTTAAGTGAAATAAGGCAAACAAAGAAGGATAAATAGTGCACGATCTCATTCATATGTGGAATCTAAAACACTTGATGTCATAGGAGTAGAGAGTAGAATAGTGGTTACCAGGGACTGGGGAGAGTGCAGAGTGAGGGTATAGAAATAAATTAGTTAAAACAAAATTACAGTTAGATAGAAGGAATAAGTTCTGGTGTTCTATTGCACAGTAGAGTGATAACAATAAAAAAGTAATGTATTGTATACTTTAAAATAGCTAAAAGAGATGACTTTGAGTGTTCTCACAACAAAGAAATGACAAGAGGCTGAGGTGACGGATATTGCTTACTACCCTGATACAATGTATATATATGTTTATATATATATACACATACACATATATATAAACATCACAGTGTACCCCATAAGTCATACAATTATTACAAGCCAATTAAACACAAAATAAAACTTATTTGACAAACAGAAATGTCCCTTTGGTTTTTCACTTTAACGTTTGAGAAATAATCCTCTTGATTTTGTTTTTTTGTTGTTAATCTTTAATGCAGTGGTTCTAGCCCTATTTGCACATTACAATTACCTTGGGAAACTTCTGAAATTTCCAGTCCTGATGCCTAGGCCATACACCTGATTACATCAGAATTATTGGAGGTGAGTCCAGCCATCACTGTATTTTTAAAGTTCCCAGGTGATTACAATGTGCCACCAAGTATGAATCAGAATCACTTGATGAGCTTGTGAAAACACAGATTTGGGACCTCGATGTCCAGTTTCTAATGTATTAGGTAATGGTTGGGGTATAATATGTTATATTTTTAACAACTTCCAAATTGCTGCTGCTCTAATGACCGTGCTATGAGAACCACCAATTTAGAGGGTGTGATTTGAGGGTGAAATTTTAAAAAATTATTGTCCAGGAAAAAAATGTTACTCTATTTCCAGCTAACACCTTGATATTACCTTATAAAAATTAATGAATTTACTATTTATATCTTTACTCTGAAACCTACGTCTCTACTATGCTTCAGAAATCCAGTCATAGAGCTATACCATAGATTTTTCAGCACCCAGAACAGTTCCATTTTTAAAAAGTCACTTTCTACTAGATAACTACACCTGAACAGAACACTACTTAATAACTCTTGCCAATGTGTTCCTCCTGCTAGTTTTTTATCTCACTAAATGACATCACCATTTACCCAAGATATCTAGTCTATCATGTCCCACAGTTATCTGTGATTCTTTTTTCTCTTATGTACAGTATTTCAACAAGTTGTACTGATCACTTTTCTGAAACCCTCTTAATTATATTTCCTCTTCTCCTTATTAACAGAGCAACCAGCTCAGTCTGTCTCTTTTTAGATTATCCTCATCTCCTTACCCCGTCCTTACCCAGTCAGTCGTTGACTGAACTGCTGAAAGACAAACTGCTTGTCACCCACAAATCTTGTCCTCATACTTAAAAATGTCAGTATTTTTTCATGACCCATAAAATAAAGTCCAAAAGTAATATGACATTCAGAATAATCCCACAATCTGAACCCTAAGTCTACTTTTTCAATCTATTCCCCACAAATGTTCTTCATAAGCCTGCTGAATTTTCAAACCACTAAATTTCTCATTGTTCCATGAAGATGCTATTTTCATTCCTTTGCATATATACAAGCAACAAAAATATATACATGTTATATATACATATTATATAGAATATATAGAACTAGAAAACCCTTTATTGTTACTCTTCTTTCAAAATTCAACTCATCTTCAAGACTCAGATCTCACATTCTTTTAATGCAAAGTCTTCCTCAATACTCTCCAGAAGAATTAACAACTCAATCCCTTTCACATGTTTTGTTGTTTTGAGACAGGCTTTTGCTCTGTCACCCAGGCTGGAGTGCAGTGGCACGATCATGGCTCGTTGCAGCCTTGACCTCACCCAAGCGATTCTCCTGACTCAGCCTTCCAAGTAGCTGGGACCACAGGCGTACACCACCACACCCGACTAATTGTTTATTTTTGTAGATACGGGGTCTCCCTACGGAGCCCAGGCTGGCCTTAAACTCCTGGGCTCAAGCAATCCTCTGGCATTGGCCTCCCAAATTGCTGGGATTATAGGCATGAGCCACTGCACCATGCCCCAGGTTACTGTTTAACATTATCCTAATGTTAGTTTTACATCAATATGTCTTGCCTCACTCATGATAGTATCCTCTAGAGCATTTAGCAGTATCTGGCACTCAATGAAACTGTTGAATTGGTTATTATTTGTGATAGAATCATCATCAAATCTTAATTCTCTATCGCTCAAGATTTTTACTATGCCCCTTTTCAAACATGTATGCCAGAAAGCAGAATCAGGAAAACTTATTTGTGTGATGTAGGTGGGAAATTGTTTTTTTCCACTAGAGTTCATATGGGTTAAGAAATTCTGATAACATCACTATAGGTTACCTCAGGATTTTTATAAGATAATAAATTCCAAGCCATCAATCGGGATTCTGAAGCCATATTTTTGTCCTTCTTTTATGAGAGAAGAGTTGTGTAAGAAAATAATTAAAAAAAATTTTCTCATTAGGCAACAGCCATATTCTTATAAGCATTCAAAATAATAAAAACAATAATCTGGCTTTAATCAATTTCAAATACTGCTCTTTAAAATACATTTTCACATCAACATTGAAATTAAGAGAGGAAATTTTTCTAATTTTCCTGTTGAGCAAATGAGGACAAAGAGAAACTAAATACAGTTGATCCTTGAATAATGTAGAGAATAGGAACAACGACTTCTTGGGCAATTGAAAATTCACATATATCTTGGGTTTCACTTTGTTGTTCAGGCTGGAGTGCAGTGGCGTGATCTTATCTCACTGCAGCCTTGAACTCCCTCAAGTGATCCTCCTGTCTGTAGCCTCTCAGCCAGGACTATAGGCCACCACACCTAGCTAATTTTTATTTTCAAATTTTTGGTAGAGATGGGGATCTTACTATGCTGCCCAGGCTGGTTTTGAACTCTTGGCCTCAAGCGATCCTCCTTCCCTTGGCCACCCAAATTGCTGAGATGACAGATGTTAGACACCAGCTCCACATATAACTTTTGATTGCACCACACCTTAAATATTAATAGTTTATTGTTGACTGGAAGCCTTACCAATAACATAAGCAGAAGATTAACACCTATTTTATATGTTATGCATAGTGTATTATATACTGTATTCTTACACTAAAATAAGCTAGAGAAAAGAAAATGTTATAAGAAAACCACAAGGAAGAAAAAATATATTTACTAAGTGGAAGTGGATCATCATAAAAATCTTCATCCTTGTTTCTTCAGATTGAGTAGACAGAGAAGGAGGAGGAGGAGGAAGGAGAGGGGTTGAGTTGGTCTTGCTCTCTCAGGCGTACTAGGGGCAGAAGAAAATCTGTATATAAGTGGCTCCAAGCGGTTCAAACCCATGTTGTTCAAAGGCTAACTGTAGTTTCCATCTCAGATAATTAGGGACAGGATAAAGATACAGATAGTAGTCTGTTTCGTAATAAACCAGAAGACTTTAGAGTCAATAGCTGTTTTCCATTTCAATGATATGTCTAGTCTAGAGCAGGCTGAGAGAGTGATAAATGAGATGACAGGTTTGTGATGCCAGTGAAGTCCAGAACTGGAGGACCCAACTACAAAATTAAATGAAAATCGACTTGATAAAAATATATTAAGCTACCAAAGGTGCCCCCAACAAAACAGTATTTAGTAATTTATAACAATAAACAATAATAATTATTAATATAATAGTAATCAATATAACAATAGTTTAATCATTTAATTATTTAGGGAGGTGTTTAATATTTACTAAATAGTGGTTTATTAGCCAAATATATCTCAAGAAAAATAAGTGAATCTTTCTTCTCAAAAGGTTCACTTTTATGCTATTACATAATTGAATGTCAGCATAAGCCAGAGTAAGGAAAAAGACAACATCTTAGTTCTGAAGTTACTTAGCTGATATTGTAATATAATAACATAAATTAAGTTGATTCAGAAACAATGAAATCAACCAGAAGTTAAATGAAGGATAAGAATATAATTTAGAGCACCTTTTCACAAATATTTAAAAATATATAAGTAGCTTCCTAGTTTATTATCTTTCCCTGATTTAATAAAAAATGTTAAATATAATAATGAAATTTCTACTTGATGATACAGGTCATGACTTTACATCATTTGTGGAGTATAATATGGAAAAATCTCTTCTCCTCCTAACCCCATCCTTCATTTAACATTTGTGTAAGGTGTATCTTGCTTTTTTACCAAATTGTACCAGACATCTATGTTGTTCTAATTTTTCCTATTTGTTTTTCTTGTATGATGTGTCACTTTTTATTGTTGTCTGACCATTTGTTTCTTTGTTGTCCCATAGCTCTTTATCATTCTCCACTGATCTGAGGAGATCACAGACAACCAAGCTTTAGAGCTACCAGAACAGATGTCTAATGCAGAGACTTGCTTTTTGTTTTCACTTGAGAAACTAGTGGCAGGAGCAACCCAGTAAAATAATGGGGTCCATCCCAGACAGCAAATGTAGAATCACAAAGAAAATCTGATTTGGGGCATGAAAAGCCAGCCTAGATTTTTCTGAATGTTTTGGTCTTTGGGAAATCAATGTGACCTTATAGGTTATTTGCACCTGAGAGTTCCCCTATTTGGGGAGAGAAAGCAAGATTTGGAGCCTGACACCAACCTCAAGGTTAGGGATGAAAGATTGAAATGGGATACCTTCTCTAGAAAGGATTTTTGGGGATTGTATTCCAGATGAAAACAGACTAGCAACTCGAAGCAGTCCATGCAGGATTTTTCTGAAGTTTTTCCTCTTTTTCTCGAACATTAGCATTTAGTCTTCGGTTTCCTGATCATCTCCCACACTATTATTTCAGCCTGAAATTTCTCTAATTATCATGAAACCTTCACTGACTCCATAACCCTTTGTTTTTGGGTGGTGGCATAGGAAATTATGGAAGAGAGAACTGAGACTTCCCCTCTATGACAATTGCAACACGATAATGAAACAACAGTGGCATTGGGATTCTGGGGGTAATCACAGAGTGAGTGGCAGCCCCAGGCAGCACCAAGAGCTGTAGAGAGAAGAGGCAGTGCAGAGAAGTACCTGCCACTTGGTTTAACTGAGCAAAATAAAACACAACTTTTTTTTTTAACCTAACTGCACAGAAAGATGAGCCTTAGTAGGAGAGGTGATGAGTTACAATTCAAATTAAAATAAATAGATGTTATCTACTATTTTATTAATTATATTTATTGTGATTTTCTGAGTTGTTCATATCATTTCAGGAGTCCTAGGTTGCCATAAAGCTCTTGATTTTTTAGTGGTCACTTTAAGCACCAATACAGTCACCTAGTTTTGCCAAAGCTACATAAAAGACAAAGATTTGTGGTTCCCTCAAAAGTGTCTCCTGCCTGAGATTCACACAGTTATTAACCATATACACATGCATATACACACAAGGCCTTCAGAGTGAGAGAATGTGCAGCCTGTACTGTAAACTCTTTTCCTATCTTTATAATATTCACATTTAGATACTTTGCTGGTCTAAGTTATCCTTATCTATTAAAGATATACAGCATGTTCTTCCCAAGAAAATTGTAGTAATAAATATTTAAATGTCTAAGGTGGGCCACCATACATTAAGGGTACATTTTAAGATCATACTTCTCTCTGGGAGCTTTTAAAATCCATTAGGGAAGTACAGCTAGAGTACTATTAGTCATTAACTAGAATAAATCGAAGGACAATTTTGAAGTTGCAACACAAGTGTTAGTTATCTCCTGGGAGTCAGAAAATAGGGTAAGAGTTTGACATTAATCAACCCCAAAGTTTTGGCATTTCTGAGTATGTATCCTTCTGAACTCAATTTCAAAATAGAGTGTTGCTGTTTCTGTGTCTATAGTTCTGCTGTCTAAATACAGTAGCCACTATCTGTATGTGGCCATCTAACATACAATATGAAGACTATAGGTAATACAACTGTACTGTATATGGGACTCATGCTAAATGAGTAGGTTTTAGCTGCTCTTGCTACACACACACACAAAAGGGTTACTGTGAGGTGAAGGACATGTTAATTTGCCTCACCGCAGTAACTTTTACTATCTATATGTATTCTATAACATGTTATAGAATACACACAATACACACAATAAAAACTATTTTAAAAACATAAATTTAAATTTATTACAAGTTTATTTCTCAATCAAGTTAGCCACAGTTCAAGTGCTGAATAGTTACACATGGCTAGTGACTAACATATCGGATAGTGTAGATATTAAACATTTTCATTATCTCAGAAAGTTTCATTGAATTGTGTTGATGAATAGTATGATTTTCCAGCTGGGCACAGTGGCTCACGCCTGTAATCTCAGCATTTTGGGAGGCCAAGGCGGGTGGATCACTTGAGGTCAGGAGTTTGAGAACAGCCTGGCCAACAAGGTGAAACTTCGTCTCTATTAAAAATACAAAAATTAGCCAAAAGTGGTGGGGCACACCTGTAGTCCAAGATACTCTGGAGACTGAGGCAGGAGAATCGCTTGAACCCGGGAGGCGGAGGTTGCTGTGAGCTGAGATTACGCCACTACACTCCAGCCTGGGCAACAGAGGGAGACTCCATTTAAAAAAAAAAAAAAAAAAAAAAAAAAAAACTATGATTTTCCTTTTCTCTTCTTTTTCCTCTATTGCTAAGGTACACAGTGAAATGTAAGCCATTATTGTAACATTTGGTAATGGCATATCCCAATATTTAGCTAGTATAGGGAAGGAAACAATTTCGTTCCCTTTCCTATTAAGATTCTTAGTTCAGACATGTTCCTGAAAATAAAAGTCAGATTAACAAAAGAAAAATAAGCATAAGCTTATTAACATGTGCTGTTCTATCACACAGGAGAGGCCTCAGTTCAAAAGTATTTCTCTCTCAAAGCTGTGGCTCAGGGACCTTGCTTGAATTTAATAGTATTTTAACAAAGAGCCATAAATCCTATGTAGAGAAAAAAGAGAGAGAAGTTTCAGTCTTTTAAATGGTGGGAAAATGTGGGGAGATAGTAAAATCCATTCCCAAGTTCCTCTGGTGTCTGCTGGTGCCTTCCCTGGGCTGATAAGCAAGTGCTGTCTCCAATAAGCAAGGACTGATGTCCTGTCATCAGGCAGAGAGAGCTGAGGCAGAGTCTTGCCCTTTGTTTTCAGTCTCTTTAACATAACAATCTTCAATATTTTTTCCTTTACTAACCAAAATGAAAGATAATTTAGTGAACACAACTGCATGCTTTTTGTTTTCATCATGTTTCTCTGACTTAAAATACAACGCATTCAATCTTAATTCAGTCCCCACGTGTACCTAAGTCATGACCATACCTGTGAGAAAAGGAAATCCAATTGCTTATTCTCTCCATGTGCTGCGATATTATTTCTTGGTGTTACAGACTTTTAGAGAATGATAACTTACAATTTAGGAAGTAACGCATAATGAAACAAAAGTGCATACCCCTCCCTTGCCAGGGGATAGGAGAGCACAGAGACCTACATTTGCTCACAGAAGCCTCAAGATAGTTTCATAAATTAGAGATCCTTGCACTAAGTTCAGGCCTGCTTGGTGAATTCCTAATGGATATTAAATTTAAATACCTCCCAACTTCTCAGCATGTGGCCATCAGGACAAACATAAGATCTCTGTTATTATTTCTTTTCTCTTTCCCAGATAATTACACTTTAAAAATGTAATCAAGATTAGGACTTGCCTTCATTTGGGCAGTAATGTGACTTAGTTAAATAGAAAATCTTAGTACAATTATTTAAAACATGGTCTGGGTATCTGAAGACAATAAATCTAACTGATCTGAGGCAACATTATTAATATAATGGACACTGGACATAAAAGGTTCTAGTTTGAGTGCCAACCTATTCCAGCCACAGGGGAGTTGAGATGTTTTTGAAGTCTCACAGTAAGCAAAATGCCACCAACACTTTGCAGAATTTTAGAGAGTGGTTGAAAAAGATAAACATACTAGAGGTTTAGCTATGGATTAGTTGTGACTTGGACCTTGTGTGCAACTAATCAGCAATCAGAAATTTAAGATTTCTGACAATATTTGGAAACAGTGCCATGTGATAATCACTAAGTGGAATTATAGGCATGTATCAGAGGCAGTGGCCAAGCTGTTGAATTTTATGGTAAACATGCATTCTTGATTTCCTGACTCAGTCCTCTGCTGCCGTATATGAATCTGTAATGGTCAGATCATGTTTCCTTAATAATTTTTGGAAGTTTAATTAACCAAAATACCATAACTTTAACGTCTCAAATAGAGGACATAGGACTATCATTGACAAATAACCTTAAATATTGTGCATTTAATATTTAATATATGGTTTATAAGGCTTGTATGGATGAGTTACTTGTATATGGTAAAGAACATATAGCGAACCCATCCCTGCAACTCACAATTACTGCTGCTGCTGATAGGTAATGGGGGGAGGAAAAAAAGAGATAGCTTAAGGAAGCTACCTCAGGTAAATTTGTGGCAGAAGCTCTCTCAGACTGTTTAACGAGTTCACATCACTTCATGACAATGCTTGAGATGTTGCTAAGTAAAGCTTCATTGGGAAAAAATAATAATAGGAAATCTTAGAAGAAAAAAGGGCCAGTACAATAAACTAGTAAAAAATTACTTCAACTAGATAGTTCTGTACAAAGACCTTGACCATATCTTACTGTGGCACCAATGGAATTGTTGAATATAAAGGGTGAGAAGTTAGTTGGAAAACTATTTTTCAGCAGGAGCATTTTATTTATTCTGTAGTTCAGAACAGGTAGGTTCAGGGGTATCACTTAGAAGAAATCCACCAGGAGTTGCTGTAGGAATGCTTTGTGTATAAGAAATCTGTTATTTAGCAGGCTTGGAGACACTTTAAGTAAGCTAAGGGAATCAAAGGATAGCAGGGAACAAATTGTCTTGTTCTATAAATGTCCCACATTTAAGCACCTTAATCACTTAGCCTTAAAAAAAAAAAAAAGCATGACTTATTTATTGGGAGAAGAGCAGGCCAATTTCCAGGATTCCCCTTATACCATAATTTAAACATGTAAAAGTCATAAATTAGAAAAACAAATTATTAAGTCGAATATCCTTCTCTGGACAAATGTATCTTCATAATTACAAAATTAAACATATGTATAAAATTATTATTTTTATAATATTAAACATTGGCACAAAAATCAAAGACAACTAAATTGCCCACCTTTTGATATTCTATTGATGGAGCAGCAGTATTTGGATGAGTAATAAATGAAACATTCACAATTTATAAGTCATTTTATATTTACCCTATCAAATTTATTTCTTGTCTTACATACAGGAAGTCAATATTCTGTAATAATCAACATTTTGAGGTAACTTGTTGCCCCTGTGGTAGGCAGGATTTGAAGATGGCCCCCTAAGATTCTTAGCCCTTAGTGTACCTCCCACTCCTAGCTAATTGATACAATCCAACACTGGTTTAGGCATTGCTGTAAAGAAATTTTACAAATGTAATAAGATTCCAAATCAGTTGATCTTAAAGTAAGAAAATTATTTTAAGGGAATGACTTAATCACATCATCACTTTAAGAAGCACAGAAGTTTCTCTGGCTGGTTGAAGAGGAAGTCCGAGACTCAAAGCATGAAAAGAATTCATGGCACCATTGCTGGCTTCAAGAGGGATGAGACCATATGAAAGGAATTCAGGCTATCTCTGGAGCTGAGCACAACCCCCAGGTCACATCCAACAAAGAAACAGGGACCTCAGTCCTATAAACACCACCAACAGAATGAACTTGGAAGCAGATTTTCCCCCAGAGCATCCAGATAAGAACTCAGTCCACTCAACATCTTCAGCTTTGTGATATTCCAGGCATATTGTGCTGAACTTCTGACTTACAGAACTGTGAGTTAATAAATGAGTGTTGTTTTAAGCCACTATATAACTCATTTTGTATTTTCTGATGTTACTCAGTTATTCATGAAAGTAGTCAGTTTTTTTCTTGTAAATTTGTTTGAGTTCTTTTCATTATGGATATTAGCCCTTTGTCAGATGAGTAGATTGCAAAAATTTTCTCCCATTCTGTAGGTTGCCTGTTCACTCTGATGGTAGTTTCCTTTGCTATGCAGAAGCTCTTTAGCTTAATTAGATCCCATTTGTCAATTTTGGCTTTTGTTGCCATTGCTTTTTGTGTTTTAGACATGAAGTCCTTGCCCATGCCTATGTCCTGAATGGTAATGCCTAGGTTTTCTTCTAGGGTTTTTGTGGTTTTAGGTCTAACATTAAAGTCTTAAATCCACCTGGAATTAATTTTTGTATAAGGTGTAAGGAAGGGATCCAGTTTCAGCTTTCAAGACATATGCACACGTATGTTTACTGCGGCACTACTCACAATAGCAAAGACTTGGAACCAACCCAAATGTCCAACAACGATAGACTGGATTAAGAAAATGTGGCACATATACACCATGGAATACAATGCAGCCATAAAAAATGATGAGTTCATGTCTTTTGTAGGGACATGGATGAAGCTGGAAACCATCATTCTCAGCAAACTATCACAAGGACAAAAAACCAAACACCGCATGTTCTCACTCATAGTTGGGAATTGAACAATGAGGACACTTGGACACAGGAAGGGGAACATCACACACCGGGACCTGTTGTGGGGTGGGGGGACGGGGAAGGGATAGCATTAGGAGATATACCTAATGTAAATGACGAGTTAATGGGTGCAGCACACCAACATGGCACATGTATACATATGTAACAAACCTGCACGTTGTGCACATGTACCCTAGAACTTAAAGTATAATAATATATATATATAAAATATATAAAAAGAAAGTAGACAGGTGTTCCACATTTTTGCAATTGCAAATACCTTTTGAACCACTTGTTGCAAATTAAAACAACAAGTGGTTCGAAATTTATTTGCAATTGCAAAACTGTGGAACCAACCCAAATGCCCATCAATCAATGAGTTGATAAAGAAACTGTGGTATGTATACATGGTGGGATACTACTCAGCCATAAAAAGGAATGAATTAATGGCTTTCACAGCAACCTGGATGGAATTGGAGAGTATTATTCTAAGTGAAGTAACTAAGGAATGGAAAACCAAACATCATATGTTCTCACTCATAAGCGGGAGCTAAGCTATGAGGATGCAAAGGCATAAGAATGACATAGTGGACTTTGGGGACTCAAGGGGAAAGAGTGGAAAGGGGGTAAGGGATAAAAGACTACAAATTGGGTACAGTGTATAGTGCTTGGATGATGGGTGCACCAAAATCTCACAAATCACTACTAAATAACTTACTCATGTAACCAAGTACCACCTGTTCCCCCAAAATCTATGGAAATAAAAAATTACTAAAATTCTTTGTTTATAAGACTTTTAAACAAAGAAAATTATTTTACCAGCTGTTTACATTCTTAATTTTTTAAAGAATTTTTGTGACATATTTCAGCAGAAAAATTATATAACAAGTGAAGTATTTCCTTCTGTGTGTATCCATTTACTATCCCTGTGTTTTTGAAAAGCATTTACTTACTTAATTTTTGTTAAAATTCAACTTCATTTTGAAGAGTAAGATTAAGTTTGGTTATTTTATTAAAAATACTTTCTTGGAGTATACCACTGGCAGCCAGTGGTCATCACAGAAAAAGTAAGCAAATTGAAACAACTTTTTTTGTAAAATAAAATTTTTTGATTTATCTTTAACAATTTTGCCATGAAATGACTAGTAAATGAAGATTTTTCTGATCATCTACATTTTGTTGTGAAATATTATAGTATTTTACTCTTTAAGTAAATGAATCAATAAGTCCTTTTAATTGGGCATGTATAAAGTGTAAAGTGTTCAAAAATGATAGAAGCAAATACACACAAAAAAGGACATGCAATAAGGGAATATAAATGATTTTTTCAAGAAATGATACTGGGTTTACTAAGCAGTCTTATAGAAAAAACAAAGCTTGACTATACAAAATAAAAATCCCAGGTAGCTATAAATGATAAATGTGAAATGAAAACCAGAAGGCTTTTTGATAATATAAAGAGAGAATAACTTCACCATCATGAAAGTAGACAAAAATTTGTTGAACAGACAACAAATTATACAAGACTTTCTATGTCTTGTATAATTTCATAAAATTCCTTGACATTCAAAATCTTGCCAACTTCTTTACTGAAAATAATTTAATGCAGTGGTTTAAAGCAAAGGTTTTGAAATAATACCTTTATTCAAATCTCAATTCCACCACTTGCCGGTGGTTAACTTTTGACAAATTCCTTAGCTTCTCTGGGTTTTTGTCTCCCTATCTTTAAAATGGAAGTAAAGGTGTACTCTTCCAGTAGTCATTACCAGGACTAAATGAGAGCATCCATTTAAAGCACTTGGTACAGTACCTGGCGTATGTTGAGTTTTCCATAAGTATTGTTCTCTGTGGTGTGGGTTTAATGCTGTCGTTTACTTTTGTTTGTGACAAGGGACACTGAAAGGTTAACTTTGGATCATGTGTTCTATTTAATGATATTTGAGTTGTTATATTCAGCTGTAGAGACATAATAACACTCCATACAAACACAATGAAAATCATAATTTCCTTCAGAAAATTGGAAGAAGTGAATGCCTTATTCAAGAAATAGAAGTTGCTGTAAAACCAGCTTACCTCTCAGTTTTTTCCTCCATGAAGAAGACATAGCCGACAAAAATGCATTCCAGAGAAATCAGCATTACCATTTTTTTCCAAAAAGGTATTATACCTAGTCATGAAGCAATAGCTCACCGGGGAGGCATTGCTGTTGCTTCTTGTGTTTTTGCCACTCTTCTGTAAAGTATGCGGAGTGTATCCCTCAAAATCTGCACTATTAATAAAAAAATAAAAGGAAAAAGGAAAACACTTGTGCTTGAGCCCAGCTTGTGGGTGGGAAGGGGGGCAACAGAGGAGAAGACAAAGATGGGACATAGGGGTTTGTTCTGTAAATTTAAAAAAAAAGCTGACAATTGATAGAGAACTAGTTCAGGTTTTCGTACAGAGCCAAGAGTGATGGGTTTATCCTCAACAACACTGATTGTTTCCCAGAACTGGAGGGTTTACCTCATCTTAATATCTCTATATATTTATTTCTCCCAGACCACTCGATTTTCTCTGCCAGATATTAATTCATTTCTCCACCCTTGTTCAAGACTCCTGGTCACTGAAACCACCCCAATACAACACTAGGCTTCTATTCTTTTCTCCATGATCCTTTTGCTTTCACTTTAATCAGCAGGAGAGTTCTTACTCTCCTCTTACTCATTACAAAACAAAATAACTCCACGTGTTGTTTGTTTTGAGTTTCAAAATTAAAAGATTTAGAGGCTTCCAAGTTAAGGTAAACAATAGAAAAGAATGGAAAAGAGAAGATGGGTGTTCACCTGGGATGACAGGATATGATACGTTCAGAGTGATTTTTTTATCCTTATACAAGCCATGTGTGGTTTCAAAAGGTAGCCTTTTCAAGTGTGTTAAGTTTTTTTCTCTTTTTACTGCATGGTGTTATTGAAGCAGAGAAGTTTGTTTCCAATATGCTTTTTAAGTACATCAATGCAAGAAGAATAATGTCTCATGATCAGATTAACACACCATCATTCCTTTCTTGAAATAATTCACAGCCACTTCAAATGACTGGATCAGTTACTGAAGTATTGGAAAGTTTTTTGAGTTCACCATTATACTTACAGTGAAAGGTTTATTGTGGGTAGCGATAGAGGTAGGAGATGCCTGTTTTTTCTTCTGCTCCCCACTTACTCTCCTTTTAGTTTTCCACTATCAAATTGTCATTTGGAAAAGATAAGCATTTCCCTCAATTTGAAGCCAACCCTTCAAATCCAGCCATTCTGGAAATATTCAACAGTGTTATTATTTACCACCTAGTGATGTTCCATGCATCACACTTCTATATGCAACAATCTTCAGATTATAATACATTGTGGGAATGCTTCCAAATGTTTACACGTGAAAATGATTATCTATCCTGGTTCAACTACAAATACTATTCTCATCTAGAGTGATTTTAATGATGTTACTCAGTTAAGGCAGAGACCAAGACAGCACACTCAGAGTATATTAAGAGTTAGCAAAAATGTCTCATTTTTTTTGGGAGGTGGAGCAAGATGACCAAATAGCTTTCATTGATCATCCTTCCTACAGGAACACCCAAATGAGCAACTATCCACACACAAAAAAGCATATGAGATGTAAAAATCAGGTGAGGACTTACAGTACAATGTTTCAACCTGTTATCATTAAAAGAGGCCCTGAAGAGGATAGAAAAGACAGTCTTGATTTACCGATGCCACCCCCCCATTCCCTAGCATTGCCACATGACATGGAGAAAAAATCTGTATGCTTGGGAAAGGGAGAGCACAGAGACTGCCGGACTTTATATTGAAATTCAGTGCTTCCTATCACAGTGGAAAACAACAGTGGGCAGAATTCAGCCAGTGCCTATGAACGAAGCATTTAGACCATCCATAGCCAGAGGAAAATTACTCATCTCAGTTGTTGGAACCTGAGATCTGGCAAGCCTTGCCACCATGGGCTAAAGGGCTCTGGAGTTCTAAAGAAACTTAAAAGGGAATTGAAGGAACAAGGAATGCAATCCCTGGTGCTGTGCTACACTGAGAGCCTGTGGACTTGGGGAGCATGTGAATAAGTGAGGCACCAGCCTGGGTGGCCAAGGGAATCCTTGTGCCATCCCTACCCCAACCCCAAGCAGAGTAGCTCACAGCTCTTGGAGAGATTCCTTCCCTCCACTTGAGGAGAGAAGAGGGAAGAGTAAAGAGGACTTTGTCTTGCAACTTGGCCAACAGCTTAACCACAATATGATCGAGCAGAAGGCAGATGCCTAAGGCCCCATTCCAGTCCCTCACTCCTGGACAATGCTTCTAGACACACCCCTGTCCAGGAGGGAACCTACTGACTTGAAGGGAATAAAGCAGTCCTGGCAGAATTTATTGCCTGCTGACTAAAGAGCCCCTGGCCCCTGAATAATTAGCAGTGGTACCCAGGCAGTACTCACCCTGGGCCTTGGGTGAGAATCAGAGACATTCTGGCTTCAGGTGTAACCCATCAGATTCCCAGCTAGAAGGAGGGATTATTTCTGCTTGAGAAAGGGAGAGGGAAGAGTAAAAGGGACTTTGTCTTCCAGCCCAGGTACCAGCTCAGCCACAGTTGGGTAGATCACCAAGTGGGCTCTTAGGATCCTGGGTCCCAGGCCTTGGGTTGTGGACAGCATTGCTGAACCTGCTCTGGATCAGAGGGAAGCCCACTGCCCTGAAGGAAGAGTGGCAGGCCTAGCAGCATTCACCACAAGCTGACTAAAGAGCCCTTGGGCCTTGAATGAATGTTGCGGTAGCCAGGTAGTACTCCCCATAGGACTGTGTTGGTGGTGGACACAGGGAGATACTCCTTTGCTTGGGAAAAAATGAGGGAAGAGTGAGAAGGACTTAGTCTTGTGATTTGGATGCCAGCTCAGCCACAGTAGATGGGGCACCATGTAGATTTCTAAGGTTTCTGATTCATGGCCTTAGCTCCTGGATGGCATCTCTGGACCTGCTCAGACCAGAGGGAACTTGTCACCCTGAAGGGAAGGATGCAGTCCTTGCTAGCTTCCCCATTGCTGTTTGTAGAGCTCTAGGACCTTGAGGAAACATAGGCAGTAGCCAAGCAGTGGTTAGTGCAGGACTTGGGCAAGATTAAGTGCTGTGCTGGCTTCAGGTCTGACCCAGCACAGTCCCAGTGGTGTTTGCCACAGGGGTGCTTGTGTCTGTCTGGTAATTGGATAATTCTTCTGGATCTTATTTAAGATTACAAAGGTGGTACCTCTACAAGTCTGCAACAGCCACAGTGTTACTGGCCTTGGGGTGTCCCTTAAAGAAGATAAGGCTGCAGTGATCTAAAAGTTAGATCATAACACTCAAGTCCCTTTAAACAGCCAGAAAGCCTTCCTAAGAAGGACCAGTACAAATAAGGCCAGACCGCAAAACTACAATAAACACCCAATTCTTCAATGCCCAGACACTGAAAAACAAGCATCAAGACCATCCAGAAAACATGACTTTGCCAAATGAAATAAGAAACCAGGGATCGATCCTTTCAGACAGATAATTCAAAATAGCTGTTTTTGTTTTTGTTCTGAGATAGAGTTTTGCTCTTGTTGCCCAGGCCGGAGTGCAATGGCGTGATCCCGGCTCACTGCAACCTCTGCCTCCCGGGTTCAAGCAATTCTCCTGCCTCAGCCTTCCAGGTAGCTGGGATTACAGGAGCCCGCCACCACACCCGGATAATTTTATATTTTTGGTAGAGATGGGGTTTCTCCATGATGGTCAGGCTGGTCTCGAACTCCTGACCTCAGGTTATTTGCCCACCTCGGCCTCCCAAAGTATTAGGATTATAGGCGTGAGCTACTGTGCCCAGTCTAAAATAGCTGTGTTGAGGAAACTTAGATTAAGTCAAGGTAACACAGAGAAGAAATTCAGAATCCTATCAGATATATTTAACCAAGAAATTTAAAAAATTAGTAATAATCAAGCAGAAATTTTGTAGTTGAAAATTGCAATTGACATATTGAAGAATGCATCAGAGTCTCTTAATTATAGATTTGATAAAACAATCATTAGGTTTGAATACAGGCTATTTAAAAAATACACGGAAGAGACAAAAGAAAAAAAGAATAAAGAAGAATGAAGCATGCATACATACGAGATTTAGAAAATAGCCTCAAAAAGCCAAACCTGAAAGTTATTGAAGGAGGTTGAGAGAGTCCAGGGTATAAAGTTTATAGAAAAAGATAATAACACAGAACTCCCCAAACCTAGAGGAAGATATCAATATTTAAGTATAAGGAGGTTATAGGACACCAAGAAGATTTAATACACACAAGACTACCTGAAGATATTTAATAATTAATCTCCTAAAGGTTAAGGATAAAGAAAGTATCCTAAAAGCAGCAATTGAAAAGGCATAAATAACATACAATGGAGCTTTAATACATCTGGCCGCAGAATTCTCAGTGGAAACCTTACATTCCAGGAGAGAGTAGAATGCCACATTTAAAGTGCTGAAGGAAAAAAAGTTTTTATCCTAGAATAATATATCTGGAGAAAATATTCTTCAAACATGAATGAGAAAAAATGTCTTTCCCAGGCAAACAAAAGCTGTGGGATTTCATCAATGCAAGACCTGCCTTACAAAAAGTGCTAAAGGGAGTACCTCAATTTGAAAGAAAATAACATTAATGAGCAATACAGCATCATCTGAAGGTATAAAAGTCACTGGTAATAGTAAGTACACCAAAACCCATAGATTATTGTAACACTGTAATTGTGATAAGTAAACTACTCATGTCTTGAATAGAAAGACTAACAGATAAACCAATCAAAAATATTAGCTACAACAACTTTTCAAGACATAGAAAGTACAATACAACAAATAGAAACAACAAAAAGTTAAAAAGCCGGGGGAGGAATTAAAGTGTAGAGTTTTCATTAGTTTTCTCTTTGTTAATTTACATAATCAGTGTTGTCAGAAGTTTTAAATAATAGGTTATAAGACATGATTTGAAAGCCTTATGGTAACCTCAAATCAAAAAACACACAAGAGATACAAAAAAATAAAAAGCAAGAAATCAAAACTTACAACCAGAGAAAATCACCTTTGTAAAAAAGAAGACAGGAAGGAAGTAAAGAAGGAAGAGAAGACCACAAAACAACCTTCCAAAAATAGCAAAATGGCAGGAGTAAGCTCTTACTTATCATTAACACCATTGAATATAAATAGACTAAACACTTCAATCAAAAGACATAGGGTGACTGAATTTATTGAAAAAAAAAAACAAGACTCAACAATCTGTTTCCAACAAGAAACACACTTCATTTATAAAGACACAGATAGACAAAAAGTAAAAAAAATGGAAAAAGATATTCCATGTCAATGGAAATCAAAGAGCAGGAGTAGCTATACTTATATCTGACAAAATAGATCTCAAGAAAAAAGCTACAAAAAGAGACAAATTTCAGTATATAATAATAAAGATGGCAACTCAGCAGGAGTATATAACCATTGTAATATATATGCACTCAACACTGGAGTATCCAGATATATAAAGCAAATATTTTTAGAGCTAAAGGGAGAGATAGGCCCCAATAAAATAACAGCATCCTGCTTATAATACAACACCCCACTTTCAACATTGGACAGATCTTCTAGACAGAGAATCAACAAAGAAACATCGAACTTAATCTGCACTTTAGATCAAACGGACCTAATATGTAATTACATCCAAAGGCTGCAGAATACACAATCTTGTCATCATAACACATAGATCATTCTCAAGGATAGAGCATATGTTAGGCCACAAAACAAGTCTTAGGAAAATTTAAGAACTGAAATTATATTAAGTACCTCCTCTGACCGCAATGGAGTAAGACCATGAATCAATAACAAGAGGAATTTTGGAAACTATACAAACACATAGAAATTAAACAATTGATATGGTTTGGCTGTGTCTCCATTCAAATCTCAACTTGAATTGTATTTTCCAGAATTTTCATGTGTTGTGGGAGGGACCCAGGCGGAGGTAATTGAATCATAGGGGCCGGTCTTTTCCATGCTATTCTCATGATAGCGAATAAGTCTCATGAGATCTCATAGATTTATCAGGGGTTTCTGCTTTTGCTTCTTCCACATTTTTCTCTTGCCACTGCCATGTAAGAAGTGTCTTTTACCTCCCGCCATGATTCTGAGGCCTCTCCATCCATGTGGAACTGTAAGTCCAATTAAGCCTCTTTTTCTTCCCAGTCTCAGTTATGTCTTTATCAGCAGCGTGAAAACAAACTAATACAGTAAATTGGTACCAGCAGATTGGGTCATTGCTGAAAAGATAACCCCAAATGTGGAAATGACTTTGGAACTGGGTAACAGGCAGAGGCTGGAACAGTTTGGATGGCTTAAAAGAGGAAAATGTGGGAAAGCTTGGAACTTCCTAGAGACTTGTTGAATGGCTTTGCCCAAAATGCTGATAGCAATGTAGACAATAAGGTCCAGGCTGACATGATCTCAGATGGAGATGAGGAACTTGTTGGGAACTGGAGCAAAGGTGACTCTTTTTATATTTTAGCAAAGAGACTGGAGGCATTTTGCCCCTGCCCTAGAGATTTGTGAAACTTTGAACTTGAGAAAGATTATTTAGGGTATCTGGTGGAATAAATTTCTAAGCAGCAAAGCATTCAAGAGGTAATTTGGGTGCTGTTAAAGGCATTCTGTTTTATAAGAAAAGCAGAGCATGAAAGTTTGGAAAATTTGCAGCCTGACTGCGATAGAAAAGAAAAACCCATTTTCTGAGGAGAAATTCAAGCTGGCTGCAGAAATTCGCATAAGTAGCAAGGTACCTAATGTTAATACCCAAGACCATGGGAAAAATGTCTCCAGGCCATGTCAGAGACATTCATGGCAGCCCCTTCCATCACAGGCCCAAAACCCTGGAGGAAAAAGTGGTATCGTGTACTGGGCCCCAGGTCCATGCAGCCTAGGGACTTGGTGACCTGTGTCCCAGCCACTCCAGCCATGGCTGTAAGTGGCCAACATAGAGCTTAGGCTGTGGCTTCAGAAGGTGGAAGCCCAAACTTTGGAAGCTTCCATGTAGTGTTAGGCCTGCGGTGCACAGAAGTCAAGAATTGAGGTTTGGGAACCTCTGCCTAGATTTCAGAAGATGTATTGAAACGCCTGGATGCCCAGGCAAAAGTTTGCTGTAGGGGCAGGGCCCTCATGGAGAACCTCTGCTAGGGAACTGCAGAAGGGAAATGTGGGGTTGGAGCCCCCACACAGAGTCCCTACTGGGGCACTGCCTAGTGGGGCTTTGAGAATCAGACTACTGTCCTCCAGACCCCAGAATGATAGATCCACTGTCAGCTTGCACCACGTGTCTGGAAAAGCCACAGACGCTAAACACCAGCCTGTGAAAGCAGCTAGGAGGGAGGCTGTACCCTGCAAAGGCACAGGGGTGGAGCTGCCCAAGACCATGGGAACCCACCTGTTGCATCAGTGTGACCTGGATATGAGACCTGAAGTCAAATATCATTTTGGAGCTTTAAAATTTGATGGCCCTGCTGGATTTTGGACTTGCATGGGCCCTGTAACCCCTTTGTTTTGGCCAATTTCTCCCATTTTCAATGGCTGTATTTACCCAATTCCTGTACTCTCATTGTATCTAGGCAGTAACTAGCTTGCTTTTGATTTTACAGGCTCATAGGTGGAAGGGACTTGCCTTGTCTCAGATGAGACTTTGGACTGTGCACTTTTGGGTTAATGCTGAAATGAGTTAAGACTTTGGGGGACTGTTTGGAAGGCATGATTGGTTTTGAAATGTGAAGACATGAGATTTGGAGCAGCCAGGGGTGGAATGATATGGTTTGGGATTCAAATCTCATTTTGAATTGTATCTCCCAGAATTCCCATGTATTGTGGGAGGGACCCAGGGGGAGGTAATTGAATCACGGGAGTGGGTCTTTCCCATGGTATTTATGTGATGGTGAATAAGTCTCACGAGATCTGATGGGTTTATCAGGGATTTCTTCTTTTGCTTCTTCCTCATTTTTCTCTTGCCACCACCATGTAAGAAGTGCCTTTCACCTCCAACCATGATTCTGAGGCCTCCCCAGCCATATGGAACTGTAAGTCCAATTAAACATCTTTTCTTCCCAGTCTCAGGTATGTCTTTATCAGCAGCGTGAAAATGAACTAATACAACAATATACTCCTGAATGATCGGTGGGTTAATAGAGAAATTTAAAGGAAACTTAAAAATTTATTGAAACAAATGATAATGGAAACCCAACATACAAAAACCTATGTGATACAGCAAAAGCAGTAGTAAGAGGAAAGTTCATAGCTCTAATCTTACATATGAAAAGAAGAAAAACAAATACACAACCTAATGATGCATCTTAAAGAACTGGAAAACCCAGAGCAAACAAAACCCCAAATTAGTAGAAGAAAAGAAATAATTAAGATCAGAACAGAAATAAATTAATTTAAAATTAAGAAAACAATACAAAAGATCAACAAAATGAAAAGTTGGTTTTTTGAAAAGTTAAACAAACCTGGCAAATCTTTAGCCAGACTAACTGCTAAAAAAAAGAAAGACCCAAATATTTAAAATTTGAGATGACAAAGAAATATTATAACCATTACCACAGAAATGCAAATATTAGAGTCTACTATGGGCAGATATATTCCAATAAATTGATTACTCTAGAAAAAATGGATGCATTTCTAGACACATATAATTTACCAAAATAGAGCATGAAGAAATCCAAAACCCGAACAGACCAATAACAATTAATAAGATCAAAGCCATAATAAAAATTCTCCCAGCATAGAAAAACCCAAGACCCGATGGCTTCACTCCTGAAATTTGCCAAACATTTGAAGAAGAACTAATACCAATCCTACTCAAACTCTTCTGAGAAATAGAGGAGGAAGAAATATTTCCAAACTCTACAATACCGGTATAACTCTGATACCAAAACCAGACACATCAAAAAAAAAAAAAAAAAAAAAAAAGAAAGAAAGAAAGAAAGAAAGGAAGAAAGAAAATTACAAGCCAATATTTCTGAGGAATATTGATGCAAAATCCACAATAAAATACTAGCAAACTAAATTCAACAATAAACTAAAAAGACTATTTATTATAACCAAATGATATTTATACCTGTGTTACAAGGATGGTTTAATATATGCAAGGCAATCAATGTGGTATACTAATAGAGTGAAGGACTAAAACCGTATGATCATTTCAATTGATTATGAAAAAAATTTGATAAAATTCAACACTCCTTCATGATAAAATCATCAAAATCTGGGTATAGAAGGAACCTACCTCAATATAACAAAAGCCGTATATGACAGATTCACAACTGGTATCATACTAAATGGGGACCCACTGAAAGCCTTTCTTCTAAGATCTGGACCCCAACAAAACTTTTCACTTTCCCCACTGTTATTCAACATAGTTCTTCTAGTTAGAGCAATCAGACAAAAGAAAGAAATAAAGGATGTCCAAATTGGAAAGGAAGAGGTAAAATTATCCTTCTTTGCAGATAATATGATTTTATATTTGGAAAAACCTAAATACTCCACAAGAAAACTATTAGACCTGATAAACAAATTCAAAAAAGTTGCAGGTTACAAAATCAAGATACACAAACCAGTAGCATTTTCTATATGCCAACAGTGAACAATCTGAAAAAGAAATAAAAAAGTGACCCCATTTACAATAGCTAGAAATAAAATAAAATACCTAAAAATTAACTTAACCAAAGAAGCGAGAGATCTCTATAATAACAATATAAAACACTGGTGCAAGGAATTGAAGAGTTCACAAAAAAATGCAAGAATATCCCATGTTTGTGCATTGGAAGAATCAATATTTTAAAAAATGTTCATACTACTCAAAGCAATCTACAAATTCAATGCAATCCCTATAAAAATACCAATGACAGTCTTCACTGAAATAGAAAAAAAAATTCTAAAATTTGTATTGAGCCACAAAAGGCCCAGAATAGCCAGAGCTATTCTAAGTAAAAACAAAAAACAAACAAACAAACAAAAACAAAACAAAACTGGAGTAATCACATTATCTGACTTCAAATTATACTGTAGAGCTATAGTAACCAAAGCAGCATGGTACTGGCACAAAAATCGACACATAGACCAATGGAACAGAATGGAGAACCCAGAAACAAATCCATACATCTACAGTAAACTCATTTTCAACAAAGGTGCCAAGAACATACATTGGTGAAAGGACAATCTCTTCAATAAATGGTTAAAATGCTGGGAAAACTGGCTATGCATATGCAGAAGAAAAAAACTAGACCCCTATCTTGCACCATATACAAAAATTAAATAAAAATAAATTCAAGACTGAAATATAATATCTCAAATTATGAAACTACTTAAAGAAAACATTAGGTACATTCGCTAGGATATTGGAATCTGCAAAAATTTCTTGACTAATATCCCACAACATAGGCAACCAAAGCAAAAATGGACAAATGGAATCACATCGAGTTGAAAAGCTTCTGCACAGCAAAGGAAACAATAAACAAAGTGAAGAGACAACCTACAGACTAGGGGGAAATATTTGCAAACTACCCATCTGACAAGGGCTTACTAACCAAAATATATAGCAGCTCAAACAATTCTACAGGAAAAATATGTAATAATATGATTTTAAAATGGGCAAAAACCTGAATAGACATTTCTCAAAAGAAAACATACAAATGACAAACAGGTGCCCAACATCACTGATCATCAGAGAAATGCAAATTAAAACTACAGTAAGATATCACCCCACCCCAGTTAAAATGGCTGTTATCTAGAAGACAGGCAATAATGAATGCTAGCGATGATGCAGAGAAAAGGGAACCCTCATACACTGTTGGTGGGAATATAAATTATTATAACCACTATGGAGAACTGTTTGGAGATTCCCCTAAAAACTAAAAGTAGAGTTACCATATGATCGAGCAATCTCACTGAGAGATAAATACACAAAAGAAATGAAATCAGTGTATCAAAGAGATATCTTCAGTCTCATGTTTATTGTAGCACTATTCACAATAGCCCACATTTGAAAGCAACCCACATGTCCATCAATTGAAGAATGGATAAAGGAAATTGATACATATATGCAATTGAGAACTATTCAGCCACAAAAAAAGAATAAGATCCTGTGATTTTCAACAACATAGATGTAAATAGAAGTCATTTTCTTAAGTGAAATAAGCCAGGCATAGAAAGATAAACTTTGCATATTCTCGCTTATCTGTGGTAGCTATAATTTTACAAAATTGAATTCATGGAGATAGAGAGTAGAATGATGGTTACCAGAGGCTGGGAAGGATAGCGGGGGCAGGGATGGGGAAAATTGGGGGCTAGTTCATGGGTACAAATATACAGATAGAATAAATAAGATCCAGTATTTGATAGCTCAGCAGGGTGACTACAGTCAACAATAATTTATGTGCATTTAAAAATAACTAAAAGAGTATAACTGGATTGTTCGTAACACAAAAGGATACATGCTTGAGATGACAGATACCCTATTTACCCTAATCTTATTATTGATGAATTGTATACTTGTATCAAAATATCTTATGTGTCCCATAAATAATACACCTATTATGTACCAACAAAAGTTAAAAATTAAGAAATTAAAAATAAAAATGGGCCAAGAAAAAAATGTCTCAAACTCAAGGTAAAGTCATAAAATAATTATAAGAAATCATATATATTCCCATTTTCAGCTGAAATTGTACCCAACTCTGCTTAGATTAGTTCCTGATAAAGATGTGATGGGAAGGGTACAGGCATTTATTCCCTCATAACAGTAACTTTTGAAGATTTTTCCAAGAGCATTTTTTGCAGGTCTCAAGAATTTGCTAATTATATTCATCTACTAGATACATAAAGATACATCTATTCCTTCCTGGTAATTAATGGGACATTTATAGACTATAAAACAAAGAGATTTTACTAGGCTATTCAAAATAATTTTAGATTTATGTTCATCTGATTCAATAGATGCTTATGTTCCAGTAGTATATGGTGATATTTATGTAAAGGGAGCCCTAAAATGAATCATTATGTATAACATGTTGGGATTTGCTTCTCTGAGCAGAGGGTGAGTCACATTTTATGTCCATAAATACAGATTTGTTTCCAGTTAGTGTTATCCTGCTTTCTAAGACTTTCTGAAAGTAAGTTATAGGCAGCCCTGAAAGGAACATATGTATATATACAAGTGTGAATGAGAACCACACTTACAATTACTTACATTAGTTTCTGTAGTTAAACCAGTATCGGCAATTGCACTGGACTACTTAAGAGAAGGTAGAATCTCTCTGAAAGCTGTGTAGCTGGGGATGGTGGTTGTCTCCTTGGAGAGTCATTGGGAAGCAGTTAACCCCCATTTTTAATCTGTTTTTTCTAACCCTATCTCCAAATACAATTCTTCATTTAAAAAAATCATGTTTCCATGTTCTTGGCACTTTCTGTTGTAACTGATTATTTGTCCGAAGGCCCAGCAACTTGATACTTCTTTCTTAAATTCCTCTTCCTTTTCAGTAGCAAAGTCATCTCAGATATCCTCATAATTATTTTACCATATTTATTTTAAGGAAAAAATTGGTATCCCTTTTCTACAAATATTGCTCAATATTACTTTGAACAGGCTTTCATGGTTGTTCTAACACTAGTTTCTTTCAAGTTGGAAAGAAAAATATTTTCCTTTAATTGCCCTCAGTTGGATTTTGTATAGCTGACTATCTGACATTCTGGAAATTTTCAGGTAAAATCCTATGCGTGTGCTAAAACAGGGGAACAATTTCCGACATGGTGATTTAATTTGGTTTATGCCCTATTAACTTACAAAGCAGCATATTCATTTAAGTAAGCTCTTTTTAAGAAAATAAGAAGTTAGAAAAGCTGGTGAACTAATGATTTCAAGGCAAGGTATACGATTTTCATTTTTATTTTTAAGCAGAAATATTTAACCTCCGTAATTTTGGGAGGCTAATTTTCATATTTTTGTAATACAGATTTCTCTTACAAGCCATGGAGCTCTTTTTGTAAATACAAATTAAGCGTTAATTTTTTGGGGGATATTTTGAAGGTATATTGAAGTTAAGAGAGTTCTTTGAACACTTACATATTTAATTTCATTATACATTTTAATTGCATTGTAGTGTTTCTGAATTCCTTACTGTGCTTTTACTTTTAACTTCTCAAGTAAACTATAATCAATTGACAATGTGTTCTACATTATTGCTATTTAGTTTCTACATTATACTTCACTGTCTAATTTACATTTTCTCTTGGATGTTAAATAGGCATGTCAAACCTAAAAAGCCCAAATTCTAACTGTTTGATCTCCAGTTCTACCCCTAAAGGCTGATCCTCTTTTTCTATCTTAGTGAAAGGCTATTTCATCCTTCCAGTTTTTGGGCAAAAAGTCTCAGACTCATCCTTGATCTTCTCTGTCATTTACATGCTAGCATTAAATATGCTGATTTAATCTATCAGCATATTTTATCAGCTCACCCTTGGAAACCTATTCAATATTTTATCACTTCTCTCTACCTCCACTGCTACAACTACACACCATGAACAAATCACCGTCTTTTCTTGCTGAGACTGTTGCAATAGTCTATTCATGGGTCTTTTACCTTTTATCTTTGAGCAAATATTGTTTATTCTCAGCCCAGCAGCTAGAGTAATCCTTCTAAGAAGTGGTAGATCCCATCACTCTTCTCTGCAAAACCATCCAATGCTTACTGTCTCTTCAACAGGAAAAGACAAGTTCCCTGCAGAGGCTTACACATTCCCTCTTAATAGGCTCTTCCCTCCTCACTGCTCTGAATTCATTTTCTACATTGCCCCCTTACTCAGCTCCAGCTACACTGGCCTCTTGTCACTCCAACAGGCCAAGTATGCTCTTGTCTCAAGACCTTGAACTTCCTCTTCCTCTCTGTCCATCACGCTGTAACCCAAATATCCACTGGCTTACGTCCTCACTTCCTTTGGGTCTCTTCTCAAATGTCATAATATCAAAGAGAACTTCCCAGATCATTCTACATGAAATAGCACCCCTCCACTGTCACCAATCTCGAAGCCTTATCCTGCTTTGTTATTCCTTGGATTGTACTTATTATTTGATATGTTATATATTTCTTAAAATTTGTTTTGAGATCTTTACCTCCACTAGACTGTAAACTTCACTAAACAAAGAATTTATTTAGTTCATTTTGCACCCTAGCAACTTGCACATTTAGGCTTATGACAAATATTAATTGAAAGGATGTATAAATGAATTGCACAGTGTTCCATACAAGTTAATGCCACCTGGGCATTACAACAAATGTTTTGGGTCGAAATAGCCATGTAAAAAATAAAAGGATGTGAACAATTATTAATCACAATCTTATTTGTCTTTAAAATCACCTCATTTTCACAGAGTGTTTTAATGAAGCTTGGGCACATGTGGAATCATCATGGTCAAATGGTTCTTATTATATAATTTCTAAAACAAAAAACCAGTGTTCATCGTTATTCTGCTAAAAGCTTTCTTTATGTTCCCATCAGTGTCTCCATCAACTATTACTTATTATTTGCCTGATGGGATTCAATCTTAGTTTGTCAGTATTATTATTCTAGTAGCTTTCACTTTATCTCTAGAGAAGTAGTAAAAATTAGAAGGTTATAAGAGAAAGAAAATGTATGCCATAATATGGTTAATCATCAGAATTCTTACCAAATATTATACTTTTATTGGTACAGAGCTGACTCTGAAATATTCCTTGGGTGCCGTTTTACCTGCCAGCATGCCATTCCTGATGTTGCTTTTAATTTTAATAATAAATTATTTTATTCATTTCTTACTAATTTCCAGATGGTAGGATAGCAGTTAAGAAACTGTTTGAATATTCGATTATAGGTCAACTTTATGAGTGTGTTTAGGGCCCCACAATATAATGAATCCGTGAAAGAAACTTCTGCTTTATTTTTGACAGTAAAAGCCATGTTTTACTATTAGTTTTTATGTCTTTCTTGGTTTCAGTTGGGAATATGTCCTAGCTCATAGTCACCTCACAATTAATCTTTTAACCTCTTTGCCTCCTGACCATTCAAATATTTCATCTTATGAAAATAATTTAAAAGTCAGAGTTTTACATGAAGATTCACAAAACAGTATTAGTTTTCCTGTTTTTTCTTCCCCATGCTCCAGACTGTACGCATTGGGCAAACTAGTTTCTGCAGTTAGCGCTGTGCCCAAAAAGGCCTTGTCTCCACTCAAGCTAAAAAAAAAAGGTAAGATACACGTTAAAGAGAAGTTCATCATACTAAAGGAAAAACATTAAGCCTAAAAATCTGTTACAATAGCTATATGAGTTTTTTTTTTTACAATATGGCAACTAATAGGCCTGTTTATCTTTCTCTTCCTTTATGCTTCCAAATCCCTCTTCAACATTTATATTTAAATACCATATCTGACAATTGTTTATATTAGATATAATAATTTTTAAGCATGGTAAACTATGTTTCTGTAAAAAAAAATTAAAAATGCATACATGGCAGAATGTGCCACTGCAAGAAAAAAATCCACTGCTTAGAGTAAGACTTTTCTTACTTGAGTAAGCAAATATAAAATGTCTACTTTTTATGCTATAAAGATTTCAAAAACATTAGGATAGTCCTAATCCCCAAGTACAAAAGACTACTTCATGTACTGTATTTATTACGTACATGATTCTAAAATAACATTAAAATTTGACATGTGAAAGAGTAGGGTGTTTCTTTAGACGTACTTTCACCCAAGACACATAAATTGGTTCTATAATTATTCAGTTACAAATGAGATTTTTATACTTTGTTCTTACCAATATTTATTGTATAATCTGTTCTAAACCCAGAAATAAACATATTTATTATACATTTGAGAGTCTAAAGTTGCTTGAGGCAGTGATAGAAATTTTCAAATTACTGAGTGTTTTTTTAATATTGCCAGGCTAGAAATATTTTCCTACCCTCAAGCTCCTTTCAGATCATCAAATACTAACAACTTTTATTCCTCTGGCTCAGCTATGCAGCAGTTTATCAAAGGATTGATAACTTCTTTTTTTAAATGGTCTTTTGAGATCAGCCTATGCCAAAGAAAAATATTTTACAAAACCTTCTCTGCCTTTGTAAATGGTTGAAGGACCACTAGAGAACCTATACCTGTAAGTCAGGACATTTGACTCTGATCGACCAACCATTCTGAATGGTTGGTTTTTTAACAAGTCAGGACCTTGACCAACAGGTCAATTCATTACTTTCCACATACTCTGTATGTGAAGAATTATTTGTTTCCATAACAAATTATGTTCTGAGACCTAAGTAGAAATTGAAATGGAATAAGAATATGTGGCTAGTTACCAACTCAGATTTAATTACGACAACCACCCAAACACTTCATGTACATCAACTAATTTGTAGTTAATTTATTGAGGAGCATCAACACTAACATGTAAATATACAATGGTTTTATTTTTTCTAAAGACTGCACTAATTGTGTATTCTTTCGACTGCTTACAGGTTTATCACTGAAAAACTTGGGGAACACATCTATCTGGAAGTCCGACCCCATGACTGAAACTAAAATAATTGTGTAAAACTCCTACCCCATGGCTGAAGCTCATGGAGCTTTTTATTATCACTTTTTATTATTAAAACACTATTTATTATTAAAACAATCACTATTGTTTTCCTACCCCCCAGCCTCCAGGAAGTTAAACTCTAGTGGCGTGGAGGTTTGAAAATGTGTATGTGGTGGGGGTAGGGGATGAAAGAGTGAATGTTCTGGTTTCCAAATCAGTAACTTACATTTTCCCTAGTGTGTGTCTTTCTAGAAAAGTGGGAGTTGGGTGGAGGGGTATGGGAGACAGGCTTCTTAGATGATGGCCCATGGCAAAACCTGTCCTCTCTTTAATTTGGCAAACTCCTCAACCTGCCTACTTTCTATGGACTTGATATTGACTTATAGGGCTCTGTACATGAAAGACTCACTCCCACACAGCTCACCTGCACATTGGTGCTCTCTAGTGAAATAAAACCACATACATCAGCCTATCTGGCAGCCTTGTATTGCATTCCTCTGAAAAATGTACATCTGTGACCCACACTCCTATGGTCCCCTGTAAAACCATGGCTTTGCCTATTATCCAGCCATTTGGTGAGGTCCCAGACCAGATGCTGCAGGAACAAACATTGAGAGGGTACTGTCTTTATCTCTTTCTTCTCTCAGCCTGAAAATCATAACAAAACCTCCATCTCTAATTTTCTTTACCAAAGCTTTGGTAGCACAGAGAGCAGGAAGTCTGATGGCTAAATAGACGTCTAACCAAGAAACAAATTTAGTTCCTTCATTTAACAGGCACTCCACACTTATAAGGCATTCTCCTTGGGCTTCCTACATTGGTTTTCAGAAGAAAAGCATGCCACCTACCAAAAAGGGAGACCGGCAGATGGAATGTGGGGTGTGTGTGTGTGTGTGTGTTTTCCTTTTTCATAACATTTTCTACAATGTTTGTCTCTTAATCTTCATCTTATATCAATGCAGTGTGGTGGTGGCAATAGTATCAGAAAGGGTTGACCTTAAAAGCAGAGATTCTATGAACTTACAACTTAAATTTCTTAGCTATGGGTTTTGCTCATTATTTTTAATATATTCTATTACTGTAGTTGGATTTTCACATGTTTAATATTCACAAGTCAGTATATTTTGAAGTTTTGTAGTTAAATTGGACCTGGATTTCCATCTCTACTCTACCAAGTATTAGCTGTATTAATCTTGGGCAAGCTTACTAATGATTCTGAGCTTCAATATTCACAGCTGCAAGATATAAATAATAACTTTTCATAGATTTTCAAAGGAACTAGACAATGCATATCTTATACAAATAACTTAGCATGATGTATAGCAAATAAGAGACATTTAGTAAAGTCATTTTCACAATTTAGAGGTTAAGAAACTGACTTCAGAGATTACTACATTTTCTAAAGATGTTTGAAAGTAACAGAGACAGTATTTGAAATCAGATCTGATTTATGCTAAAACCTATATATTTTCTACTGCTACATGCCACCACTACATTTGCTACTTCAAAAAATTAATCAATTGACGTATTTTCCTTAATTGTACCAAAGAAACTCCTAATTTAAAATGAAATTTAAGAAAATTATTTTTAAGAAGGATTTAGGATATTGTTCACATATACAGTGCCATAACCCAAATTAGTATTGAGAAAAGTATGGCAAGGGAAAAACAAGGATAAATATAAAAAGGTAAATTTCTGGGAAACCAAAAATTTTCCTGTGTTCAGCTCTGATAGGTAGCAGTATATTTGGAAGTACCTCTAGTAGAGTCATTACCTGGAATCTACAGGCCAATCTTAACTTTCAAGGGAGGTCTATGAATACTTGAAATTGTGCAATATTTTGTATGTGAGTGTCTATATGTAATTGTCCTGGGCATTCAAACTACTTTCTTTTAGAAAACTAAAAATCAAACAAATGAAGGAAGCAGAGCAAAAACTCTGCAAAATTCCTTTTAGTTCCACAGTATTATAAGCAAATTCTATGAGAAAATCCCCTATAAAATCTCATTATTCTTACCGTAATACAGATATTTTGTAGCATTGACTGAGGTTAAGAACTCTTAAAAATACTTATAGAACAATGCCTTTATATTATAAATGAAAAGCAGATCTTTGTAGTTAAAAAGTCATAGGAGCTTGGTCTTGTATCTTTTACAAAGAAGAGGTGGCTCCTGGAAGGTCAGCTCAACTTCAGCTTGAAGCTATTAATAACTTCAATTACATGTATCTTGAGAATTTGTAGAAATTCTTGTAATGACAGGAGCTGGCATCATCTCTAAAACCTAGATTTATGCACCCTAACTTGATCATTATCTGTCATTACAAATTTAAGGGCCCAAATCCAAGGTTCAGGACCAAAAACTTTGCCAAAAGTAGCATGTGCCACAAGCCTAACTGCACAGAAAATAAGAATAAAAAGTCTGAATAACTATTTATAATGACTTCCATGTTAGATTTCTAAAAAGAATTGGTTGAAAGATTTGATACTTTTGTCTTATAAAGCTAATCTTTTTATGCCTTAACATGTGAGGCCATTTTTAATAGCGAAATCTTTAAAATGTGTGTTTCTATAAAAGAATCTAATTATTACAGATTATCATTCTACTTATCTTTTATTATTTAATTTCAAACTCATTTTCAGATACTAAGTCATTTACCAAAGGCATCACATTTTATTTTTCATTTAGAATACAACATACTATTTGTTACCATAAGAAAAAAATCCTTCAATAGGGAGTGTTTAACCTAACTCCTAATCCTATAATGATATTCTTTTCTAGATAACCTGGGCTAAGTAAAGACTTTTTTAAGCTAACAATTTCAGAAATAAATTTAGCTCCCAGAATTACCAGAACTGCATTAAAACTGCTCTTAAATTCAGAGTGCTTCACTTGATTACTTTTTTCTTTTTACTTTATCAGCTGTAAAGTATGACTTAAATTCACTTTATTTTTAGAGGGGAATCAGCTATGTTAGTCATCTCTAAGGAAAAATACATTGAAAGCTATAATCTGGCGACATTTTAAATCTTCAAAAAAAAGTAATAGAATCGTACATTTTATCAATGGGAGACATATAACTCAATACTAATATGGTAAAGGTAAGAAGAAGTTAAAATTTCATTGAAATCAATGTGCTGCCTAAATTATTGCCTACTGTGGGAGTGGTAGAATATTTCTGATATATCACTGTAAACAATGATACAAATCTTTTATTTATTTATTTATTTATTTTTTTGAGACAGTGTCTCGCTCTGTCACCCAGGCGGGAGTGCAGTGGCGCGATCTCCACTTCCCAGTTTCAAGCAATTCTTGTGCTTCAGCCTCCCATGTAGCTGGGAGTACAGGCGTGAGCCACAATGCCTGGCTAATATTTGTATAAACAATCTTTAATAGTTAAATTATATGATATTGGTTACGGGAGCAGCTCCCATGTAACCTAATAACACAATTCACTCTGACTGGCAATTACCACCCATTCAGCAGTATCACTCAGTTGCCTTATTGCTGGAAATTATGAAATTATATAATACTAGAAGTTGACCTTTTACCATTTAATCCTACTCCCTTACATAAGCAATCAGAAAGTTGAAAATAACACGTGCACTGGATTAGCATTAGATCTGATATCTATCTGTCCTCCTGATAATCATTAGCCACATGACTTTTAGAATGTTACTTAATCTCTTTGAGTCTCTGTTTCCAAATTTGGAGTAATAATGCTTTTTTTTTTTTACCAAAACTGATAATTATTGTAAGAGTCAAAGGAGGTGACATGTATGGAAGTGCCTTATCATTGATTGTATTATTGTTTTCTGAAATACGGAATGCTATATGTCCTTGCACAGCATGTGGTTTGCATATACATTCACCAGGAAGGGAATTCGATTGGGACACATGCTCTGATGTACTCTGGGGGACATGAGAAGACAAAACTGTGGTTTGTAAATGTTCTATCAGCTGTGGTCTGGTCATTCTCAGCAGCGATGGGCACCACCCTAGAATGGCTCAGGAGGAAAATTTTTGACAAGACAAGAGATAGTGAATCTTTATCTTGCTTTAGGATTTAGCCAACTGGGGCTTAATAATTATCTTATCCTTTTGTCTTTCCAGAATCCAGAAAGCCTGGAAGATACTTTTCCAAGAATTTATTTTCTGTTTAGATTCTACCCCTGAAAGGTACCATACAATATTTGGAAGGTGAAGTAGAATCAAAGCCATTTTGCTCTGGCAGCAGTAAGCCAATGTACAGGCAAAAGACAGACCTGATGTTTTTTCCAGTGCCTTCACATGTTTTGTCAATCACTTGCTTCAGTGCTGCAAGCAGCTGACATGTCTGCAGTGGTGTTCTGAAACTCTTATAATTTCCTTTGCCATTGCCTGCCATTTCCAGATTTCCTGGAAGTTAGTGATGCCTTTTCTGACCTTTGTTTTCCTAGTCTTTCTAATGTTTTAGTATGTATGTAATTTATTGTATTAAATGTCTTCCTATCTTCTTTGCAAATCCCAGATTGATACAGTATCTCACTTTACTCAGATATTTCTGACAATTTATTATCAATTATCTAATTGCTACATAAAACACCAAAAACTTAGTGGCTTAAAACAACAACAATAAAATTTAACTAAAAATCAATTTAAAAGATGTATAGAGAATTTCTAAATATTTGGAAATGAAAGAAGGCACTTCCAAATAATACATGAGTCAAAGAAGAAATTGGAACAGAAATTAGAAAGTAATCTAGAAGAATATGAAAATACAATATATAATAATTTGTAGGATGCAGATAAAGCACTTCTTAAAGAGAAATTTATAGAACTAAATGCCTATATTAGAAAAGAAGAAAGATTTGAAATCAATGAATTCAGCTTTCATCTTAAAATAACAGAAAAAGAAGATCAAAGTAAATCCAAAGTAAGCATGAGAGTAAATAATAAATAGGGCAAATCAATAAAATAGAGCACAGTAAAACAATAGAGAAAATCAATGAAACAAAAAGCTGGTCCTTTGAGAACATCAACGAAGTTGATAAATGTCCAGCCAGAAAGGCCAGAAATAAAGTAAAAATCAATATCAGGAATGTCAGAGGTGACATAACTATAGATCTTATAGATGTTTAAATAGTAACAAGGAAACATTATAAACAACTTAATGACAATAAATTTGACTACTTAGATGAAATTCACTGATAGACATGCACTATCAAAGCTTATGAGGATTAAATAGTTAAGCTAAACGACCTTACATTTAGGTATTGAATTTGTATTTAAAAACTTTATCACAAAGGAAACTAAAAGTCTGGATGGCTTCATTTATTAATTCTACCAAATATTTAAGGAAGAAATAATACCAACTCTATACCAATTGTTCCAGAAAATTTATGAAGAGAGAATACTTCATAGCTCATTCCATGAGCTCAGCATTTCTCTGATATCAAAAAAAGACATTACAATGAAAGAAAGCCATGGACCCACACACCTCACAAAAACAGATAGTAAAGGTCTTAATATTTTACAAATCTATCACAATGGTTTATAAAAAGGATAAAACATGATGATTGGGTGGGACTTATTACAGGAATACAAATTTTATTTACTATTTAATAATTAATCACTGTAATCCATTCACTGTGTTCACAAACCTCAATCCCCCTCAAAATACAATCATCTCATTTGAGACAGAAAACATATTTGACACGACTCTCTTTCCACAAACAAGAAATCTAAGAAACTGTCTCAACCTTAATGAGAAAAGACTGAAAACTTTACCAGGAACAAAACAAAAATGTCTATTACTATTTCTATTCAACATTGTACTAGAGATTTTATTTGGGGCCATAAGGCAATAAAAATATGTAAAAACGTCCATATTGTAAATGACCAAGTAAAGCTATATTTATAGATAATCTGATTGTTTATGTAGAAAATACTAATGAATCTATAAAAATAGTAGTGAGATTAGCAAGTTTGCATGATACAAGATTAATATATTTTAAAAATATTTTGCTATATGCTATAAGTAATCTGAAATTAAAATTTTAAGTACTATTTAAAATAGCATCAAATTTTGAAATCATTAATGATAAACTTGTCAAAAATATGCAAGACCTGTAAATTGAAAACCATAAAACATTACCGAGAGAGAGAGAGAGAGAGAGAGAGATGCCTTAGTCAGTGCAGGCTACTATAACAAATATCATAGACTAGGCAGCTATTTATTACAGTTCTGGAGGCTGTGAAGTCCAACACCAAGGTGCTAGCTGATTTGGTTCCTGGTTTGCTGACCCTCTATGATTTGCAGACAGCCACATTCTTGCTGTATTCTCACACTGGGAAGAGAAAGAGGGCTCTGGTCTGTTCCTTTTTTTATAAGGTCATTAATCCATCATGATGGCTCTGCCTTCATGACCTCTTCTAAACCTAATGACCTCTTGAAGGCCTGATCCTACTTCCAGATACCATTATATTGAGGATTAGGACTTCAATATATGGATTTTGAAGTAGCACAAATATTCAGTTCATTGCAAAAGTTTAAAACAATACAAGTACATAAATTCTTGTTCAGAATTTTGAATCTATAGGTTAAATGTGATCTCCAGCCACCTTTTAAAAATATGAACTGCTTTTATTTTTATAGAAATCAACATTCTGATTAAAAATTCTTGCAGAAATAAATTTAATGTATAAAATCCATAAGGACCTTAAAAAATAAATTTGGAGGCTTAAAACCTAATTTTGAGATTTATCATAAAGAAACTAATAAAGACAGCGTACTATTGGCACAAAGATGGCAAAATAAATCAATTGGTCAATGAATAGACTCACACATATATGCCTAATTGATTTTTGAGAAAGGTGACAAGGCAATTGAATGGGGAAAGGATAACCTTTCTCAAAAATTGTGTTAGGACAATTGGTTAGCCATATGTGAAAATAGGAACCTTGATTCATATCTTATTACAACTAATACAAATGTATTCAAGATGAGTGAACAACCTAAACATAAAAGTTTTTTAAAAAATAAAGTTCTTAGAAGCAAACAAAGGAAAAATATTTGCGACCTTGGTTTAGGCTATTTTTTAAAGATTCAACTGTAAGAGCATAATCTATAAAAGAAAAGAAATGATAGATTGAGCTTTACCCAAATGAAGAACTCTTTGAATGACATTGTTAAAAAATGAAAAAGACAAATCACACAGTGGAAGAAAATATGCACAAATAGTATAAAGAATCCTCAAAACTCGATGATAAGGAAATTAACAACCCAGGTTAAATAATTAATTATATTATTAGTCTTTATAGTATTGCTAATTAAAGCCATAGTGAGACACTACTACACACATATTAGAATATGGAAAATTAAAAAGACTGACTCTCAGTAGTGGGCAAGGATATAGGACAACTGGAATTCTTATACATGATTGGTGGGAATGTAAAGTGGCGCAGTCTCTCTTAAAAACAGTTTGGCAGTTCTTAAAATGTTCAAGTCAAACATATATCTAGCACATAACCCAGACATTTTATCATCAGGTATTTATTTAAGAGAAATGAAACATCTGTCTATACAAAAGTTGTACATGAATGTTCAGAACAGCTTTAATTGTAATAGTCAAAAATTGTAAACAATACAAGTGTCCATTAACAGGTAAATGCATAAATAAATTGTGGTATATCCATATTACGGAATGCTAGTCAGTAATACAAAGAAGTAATCTTCTGATATACCCAATATGGACAAGTTTAAAAATGATTATGCTAAGTGAAAAAAAGTCTCTAATGATCAGTGATGATGAGCTTTTTTTCATATATTTGTTGGCTGTGTAAATGTCTTCTTTTGAGAAGTGTCTGTTCATATTCAAGTCAGGAATGCTGGATGTGGAGAAATAGGAACGCTTTTACACTGTTAGTGGGAGTGTAAATTAGTTCAACCATTGTGAAAGACAGTGTGGTGATTCCTCAAGGATCTAGAACCAGAAATACCATATGACCAACCAATCCCATTACTGGGTATATACCCAAAGGATTATAAATCATTCTACTATAAAGACACATGAACAGGTATGTTTATTGCAGCACTGTTCACAACAGCAAAGACTTGGAACCAACCGGAATGCCCATCAATGCATCAATGATAGACTGGATAAAGACAATGTGGCACATATACACCATGAAATACTATGCAGCCATAAAAAGAATGAGTTCATGTCATTTGCAGGGACATGGATGAAGCTGGAAACCATCATTGTCAGCAAACTAACACAAGAACAGAAAACCAAACACTGTTTGTTCTCACTCATAAGTGGGAGTTGAACAATGAGAACACATGGACACAGGGAGGGGAACATCACACACCAGGGCCTGTTGGGGGGTGGGGGCGATAGGGGAGGGACAGCATTAGGAGAAATACCTAATGTAGATGACTGGCTGATGGGTGCAGCAAACCACCATGGCATGTGTATACCTATGTAACAAACCCGCACATTCTGCACATGTATCCCAGAACTTAAAATAAAATAAAAAAGTCAGGCCAAACACACACTATATGATTTCACTTAAATAAAACTTTAGAAAATGTTAAATGTGTCTATAGTAGCAGAAAACAGATCAGTGGTTTACCCAGGATAGGGTATGATGTGGGGAGGGGCAAGAAGAAAAGAGTACAAAGGGGCATAAAGAAACTTTTATGGGTGATGGTTATGCTTATTATTTTAATTGTGGTAAGGATTTCATGATTGTGTCCTCATATTAAAATATAAATTATACCTTTGACCTGGGAGAAATGTATCTTACGCCCATTATACCTCAATAAAGCTGTAAAACAAACATACAAACAAAACTCAACATCATGAATATTTGTATCTTCCTGTGATCAAGACTGGGCTCAGCCATGCTGCTTGTCTCTGCTTCCTCCTGGTGTCAACTGGGCTCACTCTCGAGTTGGCAATCAGCTGGTGTCTTGACTGGGCTGGAGGGTCCAAAATGGCCTCACTCACATGTCCAGTGCCTTAGCTGAGAAGGCTAGAATAAATGGGGGTTGGCTGGACTTCTCTTTCTCCTCATAGTCTTTCATCTCCAGGAATTCTATCTTATCCTCAGGAGGCTTGCCCAGGCTCCCTGATGTAGAGTCTCAGACAGCATGAGGGTGAAAATAAGAGCTGAAAAGTCCTTTCAAGATTTAAGCCTGTAATTTATACAATGTTACTTCTGGCCAAGGAAGTATTCTACTGGCCTGCACAAGTCATAAGACCAGCCCAGAATCAGTGTGGGAAGGGACTATAAGGGTATGATTTATTTGGGACTATTTGAAACAATCTATTACAATGTCTATAACTTTCAACCTAGTGATTTTTGCAAACATATTTCTGTATCATTAATGTCACAGAAGTATATTAGCATATGTAATAAACACAATTCAAAATTCAACATTAATTCAGTGATTGATATTTGTGGTTGGCAATTCCTATTTCTTTACCATCTATACTCTACCAAGTTCCTACCTTATGAACGTTTTTTCCTCTTTAGAATGGCAGAAGAGGAGGTGGTTCTTAAATTTTATTTCTATATTTAGGGCTATACAATATTCACTGAATGTTTTTTCCTATTCTTCAAAAACATGTAGCTCATATATACTTTCCCAGCTTTCATGAGTAAAAACAACTTTCATTATTTTTCCCTTGTCATGGTTATTTTCTTTTCTCCATTGCTATACACTTTCCTTTTCACTGCAAAGAAAATATTTCACTGTTTCTAGATAATTTCTCTTAAGTCATTTAACTTAAAGGCCTCTCTATTGTACATTCCTTTTTTGTAGCCATATTAAGTAAAAACATTAAATTGCAATATTTGAATTATATAAACTAACTCAGAAGATTTGAAGCATTTAAACAGCCTGTATTGATTTACCTTCTATGACAAATTGCTGAGTCAAGCACTTTATGTTGCACACAGTATCTGATAAAATTATGGTAGACACAATAGACATGATAAAAACAATGGCACCAGGCTAGAAGAAAGGCAGATACAAGACAAATAATTGTATAACAATATACAGTCAATGCTATGGAATTAGCAATTTCCTACAGCCAATACCTACACAATGCCAGATTCTAGAAAACACCAAGACCTATTGACCTAGTTTTCTGTCTAAAATCATTAAAATGAATCATTAGAATCTGCCAAAACGTGAACAAGCATGATTCTTTTTTCTCTCTCATACAGTCAGTCCTGAAAGGATTATAAAAGCAAGAAAGAAACATGGACTCTAAGAATTAACAACAGTGTGGGAAGCCACGGAGGAGATTTATGACTACCCTAAATTGGTTTGTGTTTGGATGGTGAGTGCCTGAAAATTGCTACTGAATATTTTGATGAGAAAATGAATTAAGATAAATCTTTTTAACTTTCTGCTTTTGATTATCTTTTTTTTCTTATCTTAGGATGACTATTTCCTGCTCTTTATTACTAGAAATTGGCAGCAACATCTCAGATTGGATAATGGTACTGGTGGAATAATTACCAGAAAGAAAAAAACATCCCCACTAAAGTGATGAAAACATGTACAGATTGTCCAACCTTTTGCTTTTGTACCACTTCCCCTTCCAGATGTCAGGGTTGTGATTTATTTCTCCCTAAGAGTTTAAAAATAAAACTCTCATCATAAAATTTGCCTGATACTGATGAAAAATAAGATGTAGTAATTTAGGCTTTCAGACTAGACTCAGAAATAGAATCCATTAATATTTTTTTACTAGGGATCCATTTAAAAACATCTAAACATGATGAAAATGAAAGAATGGAGAGAAATATGCCAGGTAAATATAAACTTAAAAGAAAGCTGGGGAAACTATCAATATCTGACAAAAATAGATTTTCATGTAAAAAAATGTGGCACACATACACCATGGAATACTATGCAGCCATAAAAAAGGATGAGTTCATGTCCTTTGTAGGGACATGGATGAAGCTGGAAACCATCATTCTCAGCAAACTATTGCAAGGACAAAAAAACATACACCACATGTTCTCACTCACAGGTGGGAATTGAACAATGAGAACACATGGACACAGGAAGGGGAACATCACACACTGGGGCCTGTTGTGGGGTGGGGGGAGGGGGGAAGGATAGCATTAGGAGATATACCTAATGTTAAATGGCGAGTTAATGGGTGCAGCACACCAATATGGCACATGTATACATGTGTAACAAACCTGCACGTTGTGCACATGCACCCTAAAACTTAAAGTATAATAAAAAAAGATAACATAACAACATTTTTCTTATAAAAGACACAATAGAGCAGAATAATATATCTATCATAATCATATGCCTGTCTAACAATACGGATTCCAAATATATCAAGGAAACAACAAACTAAACAGCAGGAAGGAAGAGATAAATCACCAATTATAGTTATTCATTTCTAGAGTACTTTGCTCAGAAACATGTAGAACAAGTAGACCAAAAATACAGATATTGAAGATTTGAAGAATACAATGAAAAACATTGAGCTATTATGTCTATCTATATCTACCTACCTACCTATTCTCCTTGGCTTAACAAACATTAAATATACATTCTTTTCCAGAATACACAAAATGTTTTTAAAACTAGGTCATACATGAGATCATAAAGGAAGAATAAATAAATTCTTAAGTATCAGTATTTCATAGGCTTTTTTCTGCCACCAAAACATAGTGAAATTTGAACAAATAAAAAATAACAGCAAAGAAAAACTCATATATTTTGAAAATGAAATTACATATTACTAAATAATCTTTGGCAAACCTAGAAAATTATAAAGGAAATGTATAGATATTTATAACTGGATAATGAAAAATAATAGACACATAATTAGATAGATATAGACATAGATACATAATTGACTTCCAAAAAATATATGAAGTCAGGATTTGCGGGAAACAGATAAAACTACACAAGGAAAAATTTTGATAGCTTTAAACACCTTTATCAGAAGCGAGAAAAGATTAATGAGCTCAATATTCGAATCAAGAAGTTGGAAATCGAAGAAGAAAGTGAACTCAAAGAAAGAAGAAGGTGGAAAATAAAAGATAAGAGAGCAGAAAAGATGAAATAGTCAGTAAAAGTATTCATAATTTCACATTAAATTTTAAAAAAGATTAATAAGATGTCTGGAAAATCTGATTAAGAAAGAAAAAAGAGAAAGAGGTAAAAAGAAAAAAAAGATGCAAGTAAACAAAATACAGAATGAAAATAGAAAATCATTGAGACAGCAAAGATTAAAAGAATAGCAAAAGACTATGGAAATTACTATTCACCTACAAATCTGAAAACTGAATAACATGAATTAATTCCTCCAAAAATAAAAACAACCAAAAATTGGATCAAGAAAAACGTGGAATTCAAATACACAATTAGTATTAAACAATTGCAGTGTTAATCAAAATATTCCCTTTTAAAAATATTTTAGAGAAAATTTTCATGTTGTTAGGTGGAGAATTCGTATGCTCTTGGATGAGATGTTTTAATATTATAAAATATCAATCATCCACAAATTAATTTATATATTCAGTGTTTTCTCAGTCCCAGTAGATTTGCTTGAGGAAATCAAGAAACTTTTCTCTACATTTACATATCACAAGAAAATCCTCACAGTGAATGATAGGGGATATGTAAGACGATGTCCTTTGCAGCATTACTTGTGGTGGTGGAGTGTTGGAGGCATTCTGTGGTTCCATCACTCGGAGAGTGGAAGGTAAAATGGGAGGAATCCATACTGGAGGGTATAATGCCACAGGCAGAATCAATGGATAGCACATAGAAACATGAATGACTTTAAAGATATAATACTGAAAGGAAAATAAGAGACAAAGACAATAAGAGATAAAATGAAATAGGCAAGACAACATCATTTTAATAACTTCAAAATATAAACACAAAACAATAATAAAAACTTGCAGCAACACAATAAAACAAAAATGAATACATTAAATTGATTAATGGTTGCCTATTGCAATATTGGAGAGGTGCGGAACTGGAAGTGGGATATGAAATTAGAAATAAGTGCATCAGTAAATGAAGCAAGAACACAGCCTTGCATAGACCCAATGATAATGATGCTGTGTCATGAACTGAGAAGTTTAATTCACCCAGCCCTCTGAGCCTGAGATTCAAAAGAGATTAAAGCAAACAGCCAAGAAAAACACATGGAAAGCACACATTTAGAAACCAGTAACCATAGGTTACTGAAAGTCTACATAAAACTATTGAAAAGTAATTGCATGGTTTTCTTCCTTTTCTGTTTAATCTCCAGCCTTTCCCTTTCCTTGTTCTTTCACCTGAACTTACACTTGTTAAATTTCTCAAATTGTAAATAATAATAATAACAAAATATGCAATAACTCCTCCTTAACTTTATGCCATCCCTAGGTCTAGTGTCTTCTCGGCAAAAATTCTTTGTAAAGCAGTCTATGCCCAATGCTCTGATTCCCTACTTTTTAGTTCCTCAATACTCATTGTAAGTGGGCCATCGATCCACTGGCATACACATGGCATTATTTAGATATTTTAATATAATTATATATGTAATCAATAATATATTTTGTTTATTCAATTTAGTGTATTTTAATATGGGAATATCCCATTTATCACTCTTGCTATATTAGATAAGTTTCTTGAGGTCACCCCATATATTATTCATCTTTGCATCCACTCACACATCTTAGTACAGTGCCTTGCAATATTAAGTATCTGAAATATTAATAGTAAATGAATAAACAGAGCTTTGATTTTAAATAAGTAAAAAGGTCCAGTCATAGACAAAATTGAGAAGTTGGCATATTTTACTTTGCAGTCTCAATCTACCTTTGTTTTTCTTTGTGTCATAGTTATACAGTCCAGGCCTATATTCTGGTCTCAACACTTATGGTCTAAATATGTTGAGAAAGATATTTAGCCTCTCCAACTTTCATTTCCTCATCTGTGAAACAGCAAATACTTGTTACCTATCACATAGGGCTCTTATGAGAAATCAATAAAATAAGGCTTATATCATTGCCTTGCCCACTATATGCAAGAACTCAAAAATGATTGAAAGTACTTTCATTACATAGCAATTCCATTCCTTTATTCCTTTTCCCACCTTCTTTTTTCTTGCTCTCTACTTCCTGTCAAAATTGGAGATAATCAGATCTCAGTTATTTAAGTTATAAGACAAGGTTGTCACTCCACAGTCCTGGCTTCTGTGGAATATCAGTCCTGGAGTCTAGAGGATGGTCGGACAGGCCAAACTAGGCATAAAAAAAATAAACCCAGGAAATGCCTATGCTATTAAGATAAACAATAATTTGGTTTTTCAGAGTTAGGGGAGTGAGAGCTTGGACTAAAGATGCTATCAGCAGAACACATGAGACATTTTCCCAGGCAGTAGGGCATAGCATTGATAGAATTTGAAGTTGAAAGCACACTGAAATTTAGACAACTTTTGAAATGTAGCAGCTTACACTGGAAACTTGGGGATTGATTTCAACTCACATGAGGTTTGGAGATTCACAAGGGTAGGAGATTGGGGATTAAGAGAGAATTCAGTCTAGAGAGAGACACAGACTTATGCATTGTCATGGACACCATTGGTTTCCAACTAAATATATGTTCCTTCTTCTCCTTTGCTAAACAACACACAATATGGGAATGTATCTTTCTGCATGCAGTAAATGTTCTTCAGGTGAAGCTGACACACCCCTAGTTCCAGGAAGAGGGTTGATTGAGAAAAGGGTGGTCCAGACCATTTTTATATTGATTGGTGCCAATGAAGCAACACCCAGAATTTTGTGGCCTACCTTAAGAATCTGGCCCAGTAATTGACGTAAGACTCCATTTGTGCTAATAAGAGACAAGTGAAGGCATGCTGGGGATTTGGGGAAAGAGGTTTTCTCATTTGCATTTGCTTTGTTGCCAGAAACAATCCCACTCTCCAGTTCAGAAAGATGTGGTATAAGATGTGAATCCTGGAAGTACTATGCCATTTTTCCCTTTACTGGGAAGTCAACCATAACAGAGAATGCTAAACACTTACCAAAACCTGTTTCCTGTTTTGCCTGGCATTATAAGATATTTTCTATGCATTTTGTACCTAGGGATAGCACATATCCATATAACTAAATTCTGTTTTTGTCACTTCTGGGCAAAGTGAAAACAAGAAGGTATGCCTCCCCTATGCTCTCTTTTGCTGTACACCAGCTGAACGAGGAAAACTCTGAGCACTTATAAGAGAGTGTAACTACATGTTGGGAAGAGTCCGCGTTCCTGAATGATGACCTAGAAGGCTGTTACCACCAGAAAATTCACATTGGATGATGATGTGAATGGGAAGTTAATTTTTGTTGTTTAAATCCTCTAATAATTCAAGATGTATCTATTGCTAGCAGTTAACTAAACCAGAATTAACCTCACACAGGGAAGATAGGATAGAGATAGAAAAGCAACCATGTTACATTTTCTTAATCCAGTCTATCATTGATAGGCATTTGGGTTGGTTTCAAGTCTTTGCTATTGTGAATAGTGCTGCAATAAACATATGTGTGGAATGATAGACTGGATAAAGAAAATGTAGCACATATACATCATGGAATACTATGCAGCCATAAAAAAGAATGAGTTCATGTCCTTTGCAGGGACATGGATGAAGCTGGAAACCATCATTCTTAGCAAACTAACACAGGAACAGAAAACCAAACACCACATGTTCTCACTCATAAGTGGGAGTTGAACCATGAGAACACATGGACACAGGGAGGGGAACATCACACACCAGGGCCTGTCAGAGGGTGGGGGGATAGGGGAGGTGTAGCATTAGGAGAAATATCTAAGTAGATGACAGGCTGATGGGTGCAGCAAACCACCATGGCACACGTATACCTATGTAACGAACCTGCACGTTCTGCACATGTATCCTAGAACTTAAAGTATAATAAAAAATAAAAAGAAAAGAAAAAAAGGAAGAAAAGAAAAAGTCACCATGTCCCCAATGATACTGTTGAGCTGTTGAACCAAACAATCTCTGAAACTCAACCCAAATCTTCCAGTAATGGGAACAAATAAATCTCTATTACTGTTTAAATAGTGTGAGTTGGATTTTCTGTTTTTAGCTGAAAAGTAATATTATGAAGAATAAGACAAAAACCAATCCATGGACACAGGTTACAAGGTTAAGCTAAGTCATGAAGAACAAGGCAAACATATTTATTGAACAGAACTAGGTTACAAGATGAGCCGGGTCCTAGCAACAAAGCAATAAAGCCAATTTGATGTTAAACTGTCAATGAATCCAGGATTATTTGTATTTTCTATGCACCTTAATCAAAATCACCAGACAGGTGGGTTATAGCTGTACCTGTAGGTGGAGTTCAGGTGGCCCCAAGCATAGTGGAGGCTAGACTATATAAGCAGGAAGCCAACTTCCCATTACACCAGGAAAATAAATTAGGGATTGGCTGGACTGCAGCAGATAGAAGTCTGTTCCAAGTAGCTGACGGGGATAAAACGTTCTTTTAATGCTGTTCTGCACTAACGTAAAACCAAACCTACACGTCCATGCCTGTCCAAACCTCTTTACATCTTCTCCTTACTTACTACCCATATATTATTTCCTGTTCAATACTTGTTAATATTTCACACTTTCTCTGGTAATCCACCCATATTTTCCAATACATTTTATTTTTTATTACTCTATTTCATTACTACAGAACTATATTTTCAGCATTTAATTTCTTCTGTTATACACTGGAATGCATGTCCCCACTTCCTCTGTTATCTTGGCCTCTACTAATATTACTTATGAGAAAACACGTCATTGCAATAAATCCTTTTCATTGGTAAAAATTTAATGGTAATGTTATAGCAAGAGCGTTCATTCATAATGAATATACCTTAATTATTTCAAGAAATTTCTAAAGATAATTTTCTTGCATATTTGGGGAGAATTAGTTAACAGTAATGAATCAATAAACAACATAATCTATTTGACATAAATAGACCATACTCTAATTTCTATTCTAAAATCTAATAGAAATGGCTATCTTTATTTCTACTCTTAAGTCTATTGTTTTACCTGCAAATTATAATGAATTTTAAGGTTCTTAAAAAATAAAGAGTTTGTGCTATCTGTGATTCTGGTAGCTCAGTATATATTTACAATTGCAGCTGCAGTGATCAAGAGGCTAGCATTCAAAAGTGCTCTGAAGAAGGGACTGGAAAGTATTCAAATTCAAACTTTTTCACAGTTAATCATGAATTATATGTGACTTCAAATGAGGAGATGACAAAAATTACTTTCAAATCAGGAAAATATTTGAAGTTTAATAAGATAAAATTTAATATACAGTCATCTGAATTTGTTGGAGATGAGGGTAGAAATAGAAATAAAGTTCATACAACCACTCAGACCACTTCTAACCGAATCAAAAATATATTCTGAGTATTTGCCAGTGAATAGTACTGTTTTTGGACCTCTAGTAAACTAGTAGACATTAGCTGTGATCTCTCCCTTGAGACTTCTTAAACTCAATGATTTTATTAAGGATTTGGTTCTCCTGTTGAAGAGAAAACTCTTTATAATTGAGTGAAAAATTACATCAAACATAAAAAAAGTATTGTTTTAGACAAAGTGAAAATTATCTGGTAAGGTGAAGGCTTCATTTTTCTTATAAAAATATTTATTTTTCTCCACCTGCAGACTGGACACTGTGAGTCCAGCAGGTTACCACAAATCAGATAGTCATTCTATCTGATACTCATGCAAAGAGATTAATTACAATCAGAAGAAAACTGTAACACATTGAAATAATTACATGATAGTAAGTAGACTGTTCCAAATCCTACTACTGAATAAGTAATTGCCTAAGGAACCCTTTATATTACTTTTGTAAATAATGGCAAAAAATATTGTATTCATATAAATTTTCCTTGGGTTGAAGGTCTAAAATCCTAGATGGATGTCTAAATAAATTTTCAATGAAAAACCAACATATTATAGTGTACTCTAATAGATTTGAGCTAATCTGAATGTGACCTTTGTTAAAGCTATTAAAATAGAGGGATTGCAGTGAAGGAAATGTTAAAACAGTATTAAGTAACAAAGAACTGCCTACTACTCTGCTCAACCAAACACAGGGAAGTAATATTTCCAGCTAAAGTTTTGAGAAACAGAAAAAAGTTTAGAATGCTTTTCAAATATTAGCCTGATAAGTAAAATTTTGACAGAGGAAAAACACTGATGCTTAAGTTAAATAAAACCTTCATCTACATTGATTCATGACCTTGTCCTCAACTAATACAAAGTACAGAAGGCATTATAAATCATGTTGTATTGGATGAAATTGATTTCATTATCACAGCTTTTAGATTTTTCCATACACAGAAGGAAGAGTTAGGGATTTAAAAACAAACTACAAAAATAAAAGTATCTCTACAATTTTGGAATATTAGTATATTACACTGCTAAAGTCACAATTCCTCAAAGAGATGGCATATTTTACATTTTGCACAAGCCTTCTGTTATATTCATTATTTTCCTAAGACAATGCTGTGAATGCTATATGGTCTAAGGAGTAGAAAAGTGTGACTTTAAGAATAGTTGTACAAAATCAGAGGCATTTACTTTTCTGAAGGAAAGGGCCATTGAACATTTAGTTAATTTGAAATTATTATAGCTCTTTTACCACTCTGATGCAAACATTTGTTTTCTCATACCTTGAGATGAAGAAATAGCAAACTTCAATATTTTTCTTGGAAGCAAATAGTAATCATCCCATATATGTTTTTATTGTATGTCATCCTTTGAAGGAAAGATACCCAAAGCTGGTCTGGCACCCACATTGAGGCCATGTTGTTCTTCTGTTGAATGCAAACAATATATAAACAATCCCAGAGATCACCAGCATCAGATAAGGCCACTCTGACCTGGTAAAGTGAGATAAAAACAAAACCAGATCCTAATTGTGTTTGAACACAGATACAAACTAGGTCACTGTAAACACAAAAAAATTACCAAAACCTCCCTCTCCCAGCTAAGACGAATGACTGCCTTTTTAAAATTTAAAACAATTATAGCTTTATCCTCACTCCTTTGGCTTCAGAGATAAAATTTCTTAAGATATTCATTCATGGAATGACTCCTTCGTGACAGCACCAATGAGATAAACCCTCTTCCTTGAACTCTTTCTTCCTAGAATTCTCCCAGATCATCTACCACAAGCCCCAATCTTACAATAAATTATTTTAAAATCATTCTTACTGAATGTCTTTGTGTTTGTGACACTTTAACAAAATACTTGAGACTGAGTCATGTTTAAATAATATAAGTTTCTCGTAGTTCTGGAGGTCAGAAAGTCCAAGATCAAGGAGCCAGTAGATTTGGTGTCTTGTGAGGATTGCTTTGCTTCATAAATGCACTTCTTGCTGCATCCTTATGTGACAGGGATGGTAGAAGGTCAAAAGGGACCTCACTAGTTCCGTTGAGCCTTTTTATAAGGGCACTAATTCATTCATGAGGTGAAGCTCTCATGACTTAGTCACTTTCCAAAAGGTCCTACCTCTTAATACTGTTATATTGGAGATTAAGTTTCAACATGAATTTTGAAAGTGACACAAACATGTAAACATAGCACTAAGATGCCCAACAATTCCTGTGGTATATAGTCTCCCTTGCTGCAGCAAGCATCAGTACACCCAGGTTTTACTGCAGGTGTGTTCTTGGTGGTTGTTTGACTCATGGACATAAGCTTTATGCTATTAGTCTCAGTTTGACATAGATGCTATTAATATATTTGACATAAATAGACCATACTCTAATTTCTATTCTAAAACCTAATAGAAATAACTTACTCTCTTTATTTCTACTCTTAAGTCTATTACATATTTCACTTTACAGGTTGATAAAATCTTTGATTATATATAAATTAGTTATCTTTGAATGACTAACAAATAGCCTTCTCTCTGAACATTAGAAAATAAAATCAATATTTTGAAATGGTGGTTTAATTAACACGTATGGCATAGTTGCAAGATAAGGAAAAATAATAAGTGACCCCTCACTGTGTCATCTTAAAATATGCATATAGTAAAGTGCAAGAACTACTTTCAGATATTTTTCATATTCAGCTGGGGGCAGAGTCCTAGGATCAACGAATGCAACTATTCACGTTGTGTTGTAAGTCTTCAATAAAGACTTGATTAATGTAAGGCAAGTTAAAAACACAGAAATCAAGTGGTGTTTTGATACCATTTGATGGTATTGTTACTGGTGGAAAGTATTCTAGTTATGGGTGGTGAATCTGTACAGATCTGCAGCAACCTCAGTTCTTGCCTTCTCAGAAGAAAGAATTCGACCAAGGAGCATAAGGCAGGAAAAGAGACCAACGCAAGTTTTAGAGCAGGAGTAGAAGTTTATTTTAAAAGGCTTTAGAACAGGAAAGAAAGGGAAGTAGCTTGGAAGAGACCCAAGCGGGCACCTGAAGGTCAAGTGCGGTGTTTAACCTTGATCCTAGGACTTTATACGCTGGCCCCCTTCCCGAGAATTTTCGCTTAGGATGAGCTGCTCGCATGCGCAGTGCCCTCCTTACCCTTGGGAGGTGAGCACGCGCAGTGTGTTTCAGAAGTTGTACACATGCCCATCTGAGGCTTTCTTCCCTTTTCCAGTGGTGTGTCCCCACAAGGTCATACTCCGCCATTTTTGTATCTTAATGCACATGCCTGGGAAGTTACTTCTCCCTGGTGTCTGGATTCATGTAACACTTTAGTGCAACAGGTGTGGACCATCAGGAAATAGTCTCTCCCTGGTGCTGGCTGCCAATTTAACACTTTTAGAGAGGAAATGCGATAACTGCCAAACCATCACCTGACATTCCTAGTGGGTGGGGGAGAGCCCTCTCCTTCCCTGCTCATGCCTGTCTAACTATCTAACTACCTGTAACAGTATTAACTCCAAACAATATAGAGTGCCTAATTCATGCTTTGCCAAATCACTCACGACATACCTCCTGGTTTCCAAATGATTATACACAAAGAACACAAGGAAAAGGGAGATCAAATAACCTTTTGATTCATATCTGAACAGGTATTAGTGCAGATTGCTGGTAAAGGCTTGATACACAGAGTCTACACAGGTTCTAAGCTTAAAGCTTGCAAGGGATCCTGCTTTGCTCTTAAATATTAATATTGGGATGAGACAAGCATGTCCATATGTGTCTCAGTGGCAAAAAAAAAAAAAGAAATAAAAGATGGATGGTGTGGACAGAGAGAGAGAAGAGAGAGAGAGAGAGAGAGAGAGAGAGTCTTGAGAATATTACTCAGCTCCAAGACAGAGGGAGAGAAAATACATGACAGGCTGTGTGAAACCCAGATATCTCCAAGTGACAGACTGTGTCCATTTCCTGACACAGCTGCAGTGTATCAGAGACAACTAAGACACAGTACCCTACTTCATGGTAAAATATACCACGAATGCGCAAATGAATGCTTTATACTCTACTCCATCATATTAATACCTCCTTTTCCTTTAGAGGAGCAAGCAATTTGGAGACCAGATTACGTATGTTCCCAAACCTCAGCTCTACCTCTTATGTTCAAATCCTAGCTGGGTGTGTTTGGACAAATTATTTTGGCTTTCTATGCTCTTTCCTCATGCATAAGCTGAGAATAATAAAATTACCCATTTCATGGGGCTTTTCTGAGGCTTTTGTGAGGATCGGTTTTTGGAATATAAGATCCTAAAGTATATCAAGATAATTCTGTTCTTTTCATCTTACATCTAGTTGTCAATGCATACAACTGATTATTTTGTACCTTCCTGGGTAAAGAGAGGCAGACAATTTAGTCTATGCCAAAAAAATGCATCAGAACAGACATTAATTAGGCTATCTCCAAGGTTTCAGCATATACTAGATTAAAATATCACTCCCTAATTTATTATGAATTACAAAGTATGCCTATCCACACTTTTCAATCATGTTCATTAGGAGAGGTTTTTCAATTAGTACTACATGGTGGCTTAGCTCAACAATAATGTCAGTTAAGAAAAATGCCTCCAATTTGTAACTCTCCTTCTTAGTAAGGTTTTACAGAAAAATTAAATTTAAAATTAATTCCTTTTGCAGATTTTAATAAAAAGAAATTAAACTTTAAAAGTATTCCACTTCCAAGTTTTCTCATTCTCTGCAAATGGATTTAACTAGGGGGCTTGGTAGAATTTTAGTATTTTTCTCAGTCAACCTAACTAGAATCAATAGCCAGCACTGTAACATTTTCAAGGTTGGATTGATTCAATCCCAAGTCTTAAGTAGTCTCATTTTTCAATATCTGAAATGGTTAACACAGACTAGGCTGGGCACAGTGGCTCATGCCTGTAATCCCAGAACTTTGGTAGGCCAAGGCAGGAGGATCACTCCAGGTCAGGAGTTCGAGACCAGGCTGGCCAACATGGTGAAACCCCATCTCTACTAAATATACAAAAATTAGCCAGGCATGGTGGCATGCAACTGTAATCCCAGCTACTCGGGAGGCTAAGGCAGGAGAATCACTTGAACTACAAGACTATCACAAAACTAGTCCTCTACCCAAGAAATTAATAAGAAAAATGCAAGTTCTTATAAAAAATGATTCCAAACAAGATGATGGTATCAGACAGGACTTCAACACTGACTATCTTATAGCAAAGTATGTACTGTACTGTCCTGTGTAGCAAAGCAACTTATAATGCTTGTGGCTCTAGGGGCCCAAACGATGTCATCAAGCCTCTTTCTCTCTCTCCTTTTGCCTTCTCTTGGGCTCTGCATTGTTCTGTGCAGACTTCATTCACAGACAAGCCTTTCAAAATAGTGGTCCCCAACAACTTGAAGTTTACCTAATTCTCCAGAGTGGCAATTCCAGCAGAAAGATATATGCTCTGCCTGAGTTCAAAATGAAATAAAATAAAATCCTAGGATTTAGACTCATTGGACTGATGTATCCCAATATCATATACACATGAGAGATCAGATCAGATATATGATGTTTTCTGGGAAAATGGAAGGAGAGAGAAAAGATAAAAAGAAAATCTTTTTTTAACATTCTCCAGAGTATAATCTGTGCATACCAGTTGTCCAGGGTTCATAATTTAAACAGTTTTGTGGGGAACATTTTGTTGAACAATTAATTTTACTGTCACATACTTTTCACTGTGCTCTGTAGAATTCAAGGGTTTTTTGTTTGTTTGTTTGCTGTTTGTTTAGTCCTCTGCTTTCGCTGTGAAACCTTCATAATCCCTGCCTCCAGTATCCCAGTAGGAATCCATATAACTTCTGTCATGTGTTTTTCTCACAAATCTCATGGTAGCTAGTGCTATTGTGCTGCTGCTGTTGGCATTTCTCAAACCCCTACGTTAGAGGCTAAATTTGAAGCAATAAATTTTGTCTTATATTAGTACTCAAACATAATCTATCTTTTTCTTTAAGATAATTTTTCTTAAGACATTATAAAGTCCTTGTTCTCTCCTTATTTCGGACTGTAGCCTGACTTGACTTTCAACAAAGAATCAAATGATTTTCTTAGATTCAACTAAGAAAATAGAGGAAAGGAATAAGAGAAAAAGAAAAAGAAACCCACATATAAACACTGAAAATAAAATAAAAAGCTATAGACTCTGAGATTTCCAATTTTATGCCACATACCCATTCCAGGAACTAACAATACAGATGCCAAACGTCTTTTTACACTTAATCTCTGTTTGAGATTTCTCTGGCTCTGGCAGGCTTGTGTAAGAAAAAATGTTAAATAAATTTTTTTTTTTTATGTTTTTTTGTGGTGAGCGTAACCAGTTGCTCAGTTGCTAGCAAGAACAATTCCTTCTCCTTGCCTCCAGGGCCCCTGAAGAAGAAAAAGAAAATATTTATCTCTGGCCATGATGTGATCCCTGTTTACTCACTTTAAGGTCCCAAATAAGCCTGCTCTATAGCTGGATCATTTTTCCAAACAACAAATACCAGCTGTCATATTTCCCCAAATATTTGATGTCCTTATACAGCAATTTACTTCCAAATGCTGTCCCCCGTGAAGCTCCATACTTGAGATTGAGAAAGTAGGAACTGAGACTGGCTTGGATGTTATTTTGATAGCATTAGAATGTCCAAATCATGGTGTTTTGTGCAAGTAGCAAGTGATTCTGCATGATTGTAGCTTAGAGGGTGGCCAGCGTTGGGATGCTGAGTCTAAAAAAGTATGCTGAAGCTGTACTTTTGTTACTTATGCCAGACCGCATTTATTTCACTTATGCCACTTATGTTACCTGTGCCTGCATTTATGTTACCTCTAGATTTTACTCTGTAGGCAATGAGGATCTTCATGTAATGAAAGATGTGACATATTTTTATTAAATTCAGTATTAAAAACATGTATCTCAACTTTTATTAAACATTTATGTCCTTAATTGGACATTGCTTTCAGTTTAAAAGACTGTGTGAGCAATAGAAGTGCACGAGTTCAGAATTATCTTTTGGTATTTAATATGTAAGCCAACTGGGAATGGGAAATTATCATTAGAGCCACTTTGTTATCTTATGAAAGTATCTCAATACCTTATTGGTAATATTTTGACAAGTCTTGAGGATACTACTCAACTCCAAGAGTTAATCTCTAAGAAAGTACCACCAAATTCTGCTGATTTTCAAGCAATTAAACAGTGTAATTTGAGCCACTGAACTTAAATTGGATCTATGTGCCAACAAAATAGAACTACAGTGTCTTTTTAAAATGATCCTGCATACATGGGCTTCATTAGATCTCCTTGTAAATGCATCACCAAGAGTATTAGTATTGATGTTTCTTTGGTGACAAGGAACAGGAATCCATTCAAATAAAGAGGAAATGTTTCGAAGGGATATGAGGGAAAAGCAGAATTGAGCCTTGTTGAAGTCATGAATTGTGAAGCCATCAGGGCAACTACTTTTTCCATCCCTCTAGAGTCAAATTATTTCTCACTCTGTTTTCTTAGTAAGTCGCCTACTTCTTGCTACAAAAAGAACTTTCATTCCTGACAAAAATTTGCATGACTTGTGAATCTACATCCTTTGAAAGCCAAATTTCAAATTCTCACAGAAGTTCTGATTGGTCACTGATCATTCATTGCATTGTTATAGTTGGACTGTGGTCACATGCTACTTGTGAAGCTAATTGGACTCAGCTGTACATCAGGCATTGCTGGTGCTGAGAATTTCCTAGCGAAGGGAAGGAATGTATGGGATAGCCTCTTATTGTGCTGGATCATTTCTTTTTAAAAAGCATTTTAAAAATTGTTCTGTAGAGACAGAGTCTCACTTTGTTGCCCAGGCAGGTCTTGAACTCCTTGCCTCATGGAATCCTCCCACCTTGGCTTCCCAAAGTGCTGGAATTACAAGTGTTAGCCGCTGTGCCTGGCCTACAATTTTTTTTTTAAACAAATGATAACCAAATGAATAGGCCACAATGACTATTGTAGAATTGACCTAACCTAGTGCCAGAATTTATACTACAATTAAAGATTAATAAACACAACCTTGAATATTGGTCTCATCTTTTCAAAAATCAAGTACATTAGATAAAATCAAGAGGATGAGAGTCATTTATAATAATGCTATTAATTCTTAAAGCTCTAAATAATTTTGCCCTAAAATTATATAAATTTTTATTTTATTATTTAGAGTAATTATTTTACCAAACAATTGTAATTTGAAATTTAGAAAAATGTTATGAGATAAATTTATAAAGAAAAGAAAAGAGGTAACAACTAAGAGCAAAACCAGACTTATCACCATGGTAACTAGATTTTTACACACGCATTAATAGTGTTTCCAGAGTAAAGAACAAACAGAAAGTAGTAGACAAGAAATATTTACATTTGAAATAAGATGTGTAACTCTAATGTTTTATATGCTGCAATGCCACTAAAAGAACAATATTCACAAAAATGTTATTTTTCCTCTCTTTTCTGTCCTTTCATGCATGTCCAATTAAATAGTGAGATATGACAGTCTATGACTGGAATATGCTGTTATAACAAAGCAAAATGACAAGATTCTGCATGCTTGATCGCCTGTTATTTCTTACTTCCCTCAAATGCAAGAATGGAAAAAAACTTTAAATGAGAGACTTTTAACAGAATTAACTTGCTTTTTACAATAATATCACTCCTTAGAATTAAGAACAAACACACTGAAAACTTACTATGTTTCAGATAACATGACAAATGCTTTGCTTACAAGATCATAATTTGCTTTAACAACAGCTACATGGATAAAAGTTCTATGATTTTGTTTCCCATTTTACAAAGGAGGAAAGAGGATTATGGAAATTTAGTAGCAGAATGTTGGGGAGCCTGGAGAAGAACAGAAATGAAATGAAATGAAATGAAATGAAATGAAATGAAATGAAATGAAAAATCCTAACGGTGACCAGAAGAAAATTGTTCAAAAGGCAGCTGTTGCATGGAGAGAACAAGTTTTTGGCTAGGGTGACAGTTTCTAAATAAATGGTCTTGTTAAGCCAGGTATTGGCATTAGCAGAGATTTACCACACTTAGTCTTGAGGAACAAGCTATAGGAAATGTTAATGCAAAGTTTTGGCACACTAATTATTCACATTCAAAGACAATCCCACAGAATCTCCTACTTGTACCATCTTTGGAAAATCACTAACACTCTTTAGTTTTTGATCCATTTATCTGAAGATTGTTTCTATGAGAACTGCAAGTTCTAATGTTCTGTAATTTTATGGAGACTTTTTTGGTTTATGTCAGCTCTGTCCTTCTCCTCTCTCAGCTATTTAGTTTCCTTATAAAGAATTCTGTTCATACATCTGTTTATTAAATCAAGCATTGGCTTTGTACCAGTCTTGAAGGAATTCACTTTTATTCATATTTAAATAATTGAGATGGTGAGTGCAACTCTTATGAAACTAAATCTCATAAAACTGTTTACATTTTCTCTGCTTCAAAAAGTAAATATGCCAATCTGAGTTTTTTTTTTCCTTTAACAACTAGTAGCATGGAAACCTAGAATAACTATGTCATCTGTACAATATGCTTTCCCAAGAAAATGAAGGTCACTTTGAACAAACAAATGATAGTCTGTGCCAGGTGGGAGTCTTCTGATTCATTAAAACCAGAGTGAACTTGCAGCATGTTGAACTCAAAGGAACTGGCAAACAACTACAACTAAAGCGAAATCCATGGAATTCAGAATTAACAGTTTTTTAAAAATACTTCATCAAATAATAATTTAAGAAAATAGAAATACAGCTGACATTTCCTAATCATAATGAAGGTATAGTGGATACTAAATAGCAGGCAGTTGGATTTGATTTTAGAAGAAATTTTTATGTGCATTCTGTTTTCTCCATTTACCATAAAACCACTGTACTGTGAATTTGTCATGAAATGATTTTATGAGATAATCAGTAAAATACTTACACCAGAAAAACCTTGATATGTCTTAAAAGGCCAGACTGGAAGTACAAAATCTTCTTGGAACTGGTCTTCTCTTGTTCTCAAATGTAGTTGAAAACCAATTTAATCAAATAGGAAAATCTAATTAAATCAGAAATGCTATCTTGTCTTGCTGATATTTTGTACCCATGATCTCAATTAAGCAAAGATTTAGACAGTCAATCAAGAGTTACAAAAGATATTTCAAATATTTAATTTGAGATCATAGTATCTTTAAGATCAACATCATACAAACGTGCTTAGGGGAAAAATACATTTCCTTTCTGCAGTTTTCAGATATAATCAGTGAACATTTATCAGTGTCCAAATAAGTGAATTAAATTTTTGTTTTTAAAGTATTTAGAAAAAGCCATCACATATTACCTTACGCTGTTTGGTAGATGCATTTTCCTGAATCAAGAAAAGTATTTGATTTATAGCAAATTACAAAATTTTCTAAAGCCCCTTATTTTCCAAAGAAAACTTATTAACATTCTATAGAACTAATTCTTAGGATCAAACTTTAAAAAATGCTGGGTAAGTTATAGCTACAAGGTTACTATCGATATTCTTCTATACGGCATGAAAAGTCCACTAATAATTTATATCAATTTCCTTCTGTACTCTCCTAATGCCCTATGCTATTAATAGCAACACAGCCCTGGAATTATCCCTTTCTATACATTATAGATACAAAAAGCTCATTCTGGGGTCACTCTTTATTTCTCTGTTCTTAATGTGTACATTAGTTTGCTACAGCTACCATAACAAAATACCTCACACTGGATGGCTCAAACAACAGAAATTTATTTTCTCACAGTTCTGTAGAATAGAATTCCAATATTAAGGTATCAGCAAGTAGTTTCTTTTAAGGGCTCTCTCCTGGACTTGCAGATGGCTGGCCATCTTGTCACCAGCCTTTTCTCTGTGTGTGCATTCCCATGATAGCTCTCTATGCTTCCAAATTTCCCCTTTTGATAAGGACAGCAATCAGATTGAATTAGGGTGCACTTATGTGACCTCAGTTACCCTTAATTACCTATTTAAAAGCCTTATCTCTAAATATAGTCACATTCTGAGGTACTGGGTTCAGGACATCAAAATATGAATCTGTGATGTGTGCCCTCCTCCACCCCCACCTCCTGGTTGCTTTTAGATTTTCTCCTAATCACTAATTTTCAGAAATTTGCATGATGGGTTTTTGTGTGTTTTTTTTTTTTGTATTTATCCTGTTTGGACTTTATTGTGTTTCTTTGATCTATGAACTAACAATATGTTTTAAAGTCAGAAAATATTTTGCCATTTTTGTTTCATATATATTTTAGGTCCTCTCCTTAGGAAATCAGATTACACATATGCTAAGCTTTTTCATTTCTGTAAACTGTGAGGCCCTTAATCATTTTTCTAGTGGGTTTTTATTCAGTCTTTTTAGCACCAATTTTTAAATGTTGTCTATTTATTAACAATATTAGCCCTTTTATGATGCTTTTTGCATGTATTTCCTCCCAGTTTATCATTTATCTTTTGAGTTTGTTTGTTTTTGTTGCTGAGTTGTTTTCTGGCATGTAGAAATTTTTTAAGGTAGTTGAACTTGTATTTCTTTTTTGTTTCTGATTTTGAACAATAGAAAGATGTTCCCATCTTGAGAATATAAAGGAATTTACATGTTTCCTTCTAGTACTTCTATGATTTTCTTTTTTTGCACTTAGTTTTTGTATTTATTTTTGTTTACTTATTTATTTATTTTATATTCAGGGGGCTCATGTACAGGTTTGTTACCTGGGTATATTGCATGATGCTGGGGTTAGGGATAAAATTGATACTGTCACCAACGTACTAAGCATAGTACCCAATAGTTAGCTTTTCAAACCCCGCCCCACCTACTTCTTCACTCTAGTAATCTCTAGTGTCCATTATTGTCATCTTTATGTTCCTGAGTAGTAAATGTTTAGCTGTCTGAATGTTTCACTTATAAGTGGTTTTCTGTTCACATGTTAATTTGTTCTGGATAATGGCCTCCAGCTGCATCCATGCTGCTGCAAAGATATCATTTTAATTTTTTTAATGGCTGCATAGTATTCCATGCTGTATATGTACCACATGCTCTTTTTCTTTTTCTTTTTTTTTTTTTTTGAGACAGAGTCTCGCTCTATCGCCCAGGCTGGAGTGCAGTGGTGCCTCCCAGGTTCACGCCATTCTCCTGCCTCAGCCTCCCTAGTAGCTGGGACTACAGGTGCCTGCCACCATGCCCGGCTAATTTTTTGTATTTTTAGTAGAGACGGTGTTTCACTGTGTTAGCCAGGATGGTCTCGATCTCCTAATCTCGTGATCCGCCCGCCTCAGCCTCCCAAAGTGCTGGGATTACAGGCGTGAGCCACCGCTCCCGGCCTGTACCACATGTTCTTCATCCAGTCCACCACTGCTGGGCGCCTATCTTGATTGCATTCCATGTCTTTGCTATTATAAATGGTGATGCAATGAACATGTTACTGTATGTGTCTTTTTGGTGGAATGATTTACTTTCATTTCAGTATATAGCCAACAGCAGGACTGCTGTGTTGAATGGTAGTTCTGTTTCAAGTTCTTTGAGAAATCTTCAAACTGCTTTCCACAGTGATTGAACTAAGGTACATTCCCACCAACAGTTATAAGCATTCCCTTTTCTCTGCAGCTTCACCAGCATCTGTTGTTTTTTGACTTTTTGGTAGTAGCCATTCTGACAGGTGTGAGATGGCATCTCATGGTAGTTTTGCTTTGCATTTTTCTTATGATTAGTGATGTGGAGCCTTTTTTCATATGCTTGTTGGCTGCTTGTATGATTTCTTTTGAGAAGTGTTTGTTCATTTTTTTGCGTACTTTTAAATGAAGTTATTTGTTTTCTGCATAATGAATTGTTTAAGTTTCTTATAGATTCTGAATATTAGACCTTTTCTGGCTATGTAGTTTGTAAATATTCTCTCTCATTCTGTAGGTTGACTGTATAAAAAATAAAATACTTGGAATACATCTAGCCAAGGAGGTAAAAGATATCTACAAGGAGAACTACAAAACACTGCTAAAATAAATCATAAGTGACATAAATAAAAGGAGAAATATTTCAAGCTCAGGGATCAGAATAATCAATATTGTTGAAATGGCCATACTGCCCAAAGCAATCTACAGATTCAGTGCAATTCTTGTTAAACTACCAGTGTCATTTTTCACCAAACTAGAAAAAAACTATTCTAAAATTCATATGGAACCAAAATAGACCCCAATTACCAAAGCAATCCTAAGGAAAAAGAGCAAAGCTGGAGATACCACATTACCAGAACTTTAAACTATATTATAAGGCTACAGTAACCAAAACAGCATGATACTGCTACAAAAACCGACACATCAACCAGTGGAACAGAATAGAGAACCCAGAAATAAAGCCACACACCTACAACCATCTCATCTTCAACAAAGTCAACAAAAATAAGTGATGGGAGAAGGACTCTCTATTCAATAAATGGTGTTAGGACAGCTGGTTAGACATATACAGAAGAATAAAACTGGACCACTATCTATCATCATATATAAAAATTAACTCAAGATGTAGTAAATATTTAAATGTAAGACCTCAAACCATAAGAATCCTAGAAGAAAACCTAGGAAACACCATTCTTTCTGGATACCAGTCTTGGGAAAGAATTTATGACTAAGTCTTCAAAAGCAATTGCAATAAAAACAAAAAATTGACAAGTGGGACCTAATTAAACTAAAGAGCTTCTGCACAGAAAAAGAAACAATAAACAGAGTAAACAGGTAACCTACAGAATAATTGATTTTTTATTTTGAGTTTATTATTTGGATTTTGTGAAGTATGCTTTAAATTTTATGGTTTTTTCCCACTGATTATCATTTGTCCCAACATCTTTTATTAAAATTCCATCATTTTGCCATGTTTAATATATACTAAATTTTTATATGAACATGGTCTATTTCTGATTTTACTATTCCCTTTCATTAGCCTTCTGTTTATTAACTTACAAGTAACACAATGTTTAAGTATGGGAGCTTTGTAGTATTTTAAATAACTGTTAAACTAGTCACCTGCAATTGGTCTTCTGTTTTATGATTTGATCTTTTTAATTTCATAAGAACTTTAGAATCAACTTTTCTACCTCCAGGGGAAAAAAGTTATATTTTTATTGACATCATATTAAATTTATGAATTATCTAAAGGAGATAATCATGCATGAGGCTTTTGTAATGTTGTATTGCAACTAATGTCTTCCCATTTAGTGAGGCTTACTTTTCTGTATTTCATGAGTGTTTTAAAGTTTTCCTCAATGTGGGCTTTGCATATTTGTTATATTTATTCATAAATATTTTATCTTTTATTTTGTAGCAATTACAAAAGTGTTTTTTTTAACATCATCTCATTATTGTTCATATACTTGTAGACCATTGATTTTGTGTGTTAACTATTTTCCTGCTACTTTAATTAATTCATTTATTATTTCAGTTCACTATCAGTTTCATTGGAGGGTATTGAGAGGCATAACTTGATGGAGTTTTTTGGGAGCTGGAACACACAGGAAGCAAAGTAATATTGTTTGAAGACATTAGAATGAACATCAGTTCTCCTCCTTCTGAATCCAGTACTAGATGGCAATCTAGAATCATGAAAGCTGAACTTAGATAGACATTAGCTGTGAGAGGAGAGTGGTCTGAATTATAAGTTAGACAGTTAGCCTGCCTCTCCTTTTCGAGATTTTAGGTATTCTTTGCCTACAAGGAGAGGAACTTCTAGATGTATCCGTATTTTCTTGCCCTTGTTAAGCTTTGTGGAGATAGAAAACTTGAAATTTGAAAGTTCCCCTTGGGCTTCTGAAGGTTCATTAAAAATTACTGACATGAAGCAGATTAATAGGAGAAAAGTATACAAAACTATTTAATGTGTATACATAGGAAAATCACTGAGTGATTTCCTATCCCACAGCATGGTTCAGGAAAAGAGAAATTCTGTTGAGTGGATTACTAGGAAGGATAAATAGATCAGGAAACAGAAATTAACTTGTACATTATCTTGTGAAAGATTCTGTTCAGGTGTGGTTACACTTTTGGTATTATAAGGAGAGGAACAAAAACTTTTTTTTCTTTTGTTGGGTCTGATCTTAGGTAGATAAAGGCTTTGGGAGAATCAGAGGGAAGGGGAAGGCCAGAGACAGCTTGAAGCTTCTTCAGTTCAGCATGTCAAAATGCCACATTTTGGGCTATCAACTTCTGTATTAGTCTATTGTGCACTGCTATAAAGGAATACCTGAGACTGAGTAATTTATAAAGAAAAAAGGTATATTTGGCTCATGGCTCTGCAGGCTATACAAGCATTGCACCAGTATCTGCTTGGTTTCTATTGAGGCCTGAGAAAGCTTTTACTTTTGGCAGAAGGCAAAGGCAGAGCAGGTGTGCTCGCAGGCATGTCACGTGGTGAGGGAGGGAAAAAGAGAGTGGGGGAGGTGCCAGCCTCCTGCTCTTGAGTGAACTAACAGAGCAATAACTCACTCATTATCCTGGGTAGGGCATAAAGCCATTCACGAGGGATCTGCCCCTATGACCCAAACACCTCTTACCAAGTCCCACCTCTAATATATTGGAAATCACATTTCAACATGAGATTTGAAGGGGACAAATATCCATACTATATTAGTTTCTGTGCCCCAATAAGATCCATGAGTCTTGCAGTAACTACTGAATTACTGTACTCATTTCTATCTCCAACGGATGAGGAAAGTTGGAATAGAGTCTCCTCCTACAAGTGCAAATGTTCCTGAGAAGAGTAAAGGTAATATATGTAAAGCTGCTCTGATGAGCAATCAGTCAACAACAATCAGCCAGGAGAAGGGACTGCTTCTAGGATGATGCCTTACCACCACTACCTTTCAGTATAAGGTCCAGCCTAGAGTAGAGGGGGAAACAGATATGGAGAAAATGACCTAAGTCCAACGCAATTATGCCGTTCCAGGTATCTCTCCACCCTCTGACCCCTGGGTCACTAACCAACAGCCGAGAGAAGATGATCCCTTGTGGAGGGTGGCTAACCTCACAGCATGTATAGGATTAGGTAAGCAGTCCAGCCCATCCGCCAGTGAGTGGTGTTGTCATTTTGTCTAGTGTAAATAGTATTTGTTTCTGCTGTTTATTGTCCCCTTTTTCTGCAGGCAGTAAGGAATATAGAATATCCTTTCAGAACCATGCAACATGTTGTCTTACCAATATAGATTCAGTGACGGCTGTGCAGATTAACTCTTGCTGAAATAGATAAAAGAAAACAGCAACAGAAAGATTGTGAGATGGCTGCCAATGCCAAGACTCCCATAGTACTTTTGTCTTATTTTCTATTATCAGTTTTGAATGCTTTTCTCTACCAAACAGTCAAAAAGGGAAGGTAGAGAGGTAGGAAGTGAGAAGAAAGGAATGAAAAATAAAGACCAAACCAAGGTCTGAACCTGGAATTGATACACTATTCACTCCTCTGTCATCCAGTTTCATTCCTTAAAAAGTTAATTATGAATTAAGTAAATGAATTAAGGAATGAATGAGGAGCTGAAAGCTGAGGTTATAGATATAAAAGATGCTATGTAATTAATAAGACATTGTCAAATAACAAATAATACACTAATAGAATATTTTCCTCTTTATATTCTTTGTAATGGATTCATTCTTGTTTTTCCTAGAAACAGAGGAATCCATTGTGCTAAATTTCTTTGAACCAATGTGTAACTCTCAAGATAATTATTGAAATACATCATTTATATTATAAAACTGTAACTCAAAATTACTAACCTTTATTTTCCAATACACACCATTTTCATAATGAATAACAACCCAAGAATTTCAGAAACACAGTTGTCCATGATTTGGAATTAGGAAGTTCCTGCAAATCTGTGTGTAGTTTTGATATATATTCATGTCTATTTACTAATGCAGCCTAAATCAGGTATTTCCTGATTACATTGTTTGCTATACTTAGCTTGGTTTTATGCTTGTTACATGAACATATTTTAGAATTAATACTTTATAAAACTCCAAAATATGGTTCTAACTAATGATTTGGTTATGTGGGATTTTGTACAAATTTCATTATATTTTCTGCTGAACTCCCACTAGAAAGCATCATCTTTAGAGTGAAACAACATTCTAACACATCATGCTACAAAACAATTTTTTTTTCTAGTGATAAATAGCATGCTATCCCAAGAGAATGTTTAGCACAATGTTGTGGAGAAAGCTTCCTCTAAGTCAGTCAGAACACAGAGCTAGCCATTCTGACTCCCACTGCAAGCCTTCAGTTGAACTATAAAACTTCCTTACATTGTAAGTCCTCCTTATATTGTACACAATACCTGGGGCAATATCAGAAGCTTTAGGGTCCCTATTTGGATTCAATTTTCCAGCTTTATTTTTTCCTCTCTATTCAGACATCACTGTACAGACTTCCACTGCCAATTCATGATCTAACTTTGCTTTGGAATTTTATGTTTTGGCTTCATTTCATTGAAACAAATGTTAAGTGTAAATAGTTATGAAAAAGCATAATTTACATGCATTATTTTTGTAGTGCTCTTTAGACCAGTAAGGAAGTCACTGGAACTCTAGAAAAATATTTATTTTTATAAAAGTGTAAAGTGATACCTGGCAGAAATTTGGCCCTGATTTTTTTTATACCAAATTTATTGAGATATAATCTGTATATCATAAAATTTTCCTATCCGATATGGTTTGGCTGTGTTCCCACCCAAATCTCATCTTGAATTGTAGCTGCCTTAATTCCCACTTGCTGTGGGAGGGACCCAGTGGGAGATAATTGAATCATGGGGGTGGTTTCTTCCATACTCTTCTCATGGTAGTGAATAAGTCTCATGAGATCTGATGGTTTTATAAGGGGGAGCCCCTTTCACTTGGTTCTCATTCTCTCTTGTCTGCTGCTGTGTAAGACTTGCCTTTAACCTTCCACCATGATTGTGAGACCTCCCAAGCCACAGGGAACTGTGAGTCCATTAAAACTGTTTTCCTTTATAAATTACGTGGTCTTGGGTATGTCTTTATCAGCAGCATGAAAATGAACTAATACACTATCCTACGTGTACAATACAATAATTTCTAAAGTACAATTTATAGAGTTGTGCAATAATATAGGAGTTTTTTTCTGATATAGCTCTATTTTCTCCTTCCTATGTTGTGCTATGGTTGTCATGTATACTATATGTTTATACATTATAAGGGCAATGATACAGTTTGATAACGTTTATTTTTATATGGTTGTCTTTTAAATTCGTTAAAAAAGATATATATATATACATGTAAATATATATACACACATACATGTAAATATATATATACTTTTTTATATTACCTTTACCATAAACATTATTTTTTCAGGTATATGTGAGTTACTACTTAGTATAATTTTGTTCAGCCTTAAGGACTTCCTTTAGTATTTATCATAAAGCAGGTCTGCTAGGAATGTTTTTATTTCACCTTCATTTATGAAGGATAGTTTTGCTGAATATAAAATTTATGATTGGCATTTCTTTCTTTTAATAATTTAAATATGCCATTCTCTTGGCCTCTGACCTCCATTGGGTCTGAAGTACTCTGAATTTTATTGTAGTTAGCCTGTATATTTTAAGTCATATTTCTCTTGTGTGTGTGGTTTTTTTCTTTTTAACATTTTCTGTTTTGGGCTTTCAACAGTTTGACCACAATACATTTGGGTACATATCTCTGAGTGTGTTCTACTTGGAGTTTTTGAGATTCTTAGATGTGTAGTTAAATGTTCTCAATCAAGTTTGGGAAGTTTTTGCTATGAGTCCTATATATATATATTTATTCTTTTATCACCTCTCCTTCTAGAACTTCCATTATATACATATGTATGGGTTCACTCAGTGATGTCCCCCAGGTCTTTAAGGCTGTGTTCATTTTTCTTCACTCTTTACTCTTCCCTCTTTGTTTCTTCAAATTAGACAATTTCTACTGATCTATTATGCACAGATTCTCTCTTCTACCAGTTTAAAGTAGCTTGGAGCCTCTCTGATATGTTTTATTTCTGTTACTGTGCTTTTGAAGCTCAGAAAATTTTTTTGAAAAAATAATTTCTATCTCTTTTTTTATTCTTTATTTGATGAGCAATTTGTTCTTTGATGAGTAAGTAATCATACTTATCTTTAATTCTTTAAACATTATTTCATTTAGTTTTTGAACACACTTGTGACCACTGTTTTGACATTTTTGTTTGCTAAATACAACATCCTGGCCCTTTTCAATACAATATATATTGGCTGCTTTTTTTTTCTGTGTACAAGTAACCCTTCTCCATTTCAAGTATTATAATTTTTTGTTGAAATTTTACATTTTAGATAATATAGCAAGTCTTTGTTGTTACAGAATTATAAGATGACCTTCAGAATTCCTACTTTCTAGTGTACATGTACTGAATAATCTCCTTGAGTTTGAGCAGAACCTATGAACTTGATGGATGTCACTACCATGATTAGTTTATATTATATAGTAAAGGTAAATGGATTTTTCCAAATGAAATAAAGGTTTCTACCCAACTGACTTAGAGTTAATCAAAAGTGAGATTATCTTAGGTGAGTGTGACCTATTGGGAAGCCCTTTAGAGACATTCAGGAAATTAGGGACTAGCAGCAGATCTCTCTCTCTCTCTCTCTCTCTCTCTCTCTCGTTCATCCTAAGGAAGGAAGCCACCATGAGTTCCATGGCTGTAAGAAAATAAATACATTCTGCTAACAGTCATATAAATTCTGAAGACCTAAGCCTCAGATGAGACCTCAGCCCCAGCTGACCGCTTAACTCTTGCCTTGCAAAGGAATCAGTTAAGCTATTGATTAACTGAGCAAAGGAATCAGTTAAGCTATGCCCCGACTTCTGACTCATGGAAACTGAGATGATAAATTTATGTTGCTTTAAGTCACTAGGCTGTAGCAATTACAGCAAAGAAAACTAATACTTTCTTCCCCCAAAGAATTGTCACTGATTTTGTGTGTGTGTGTGTGTGTGTGTGTGTGTGTGTGTGTGTTAGGGGGGGATTTTTATTTAGTATGTTGCTATATTAAATAGTCTTTTTTTTGAGACTGAGTTTCACTCTGTCGCCCAGGCTGGTGTGCAGTGGCACGATCTTGGCTCCCTGCATCCTCCGCCTCCCGGGTTCCTTGGCTCCCTGCATCCTCCGCCTCCCGGGTTCAAGCGATTCTCTTTCCTTCGCCTCCTGAGTAGATGGGACTACAGACGTGTGCCACCACACCTAGCTAATTTTTGTGTTTTTAGTAGAGACGGAGTTTCACCATGTTGGCCAGGCTGCTCTTGAACTCCTGACCTCAGGTGATCCGCCCCCCTTGGCCACCCAAAGTGCTGGGATTACAGGTGTGAGCCACCACGCCCAGCCAATTCTATAGTCTTTCTTGCACACAATGTGCAGTTGCTAATGTTTCTGCTCTGATTTATTATTTTTTCATTACTAATTTAATTTTTAAGCCTGGATTTTTAGGGATTGCACCTTTGTCAACATATCTTAGTGGTCACTTAATGATTTGTTAGCGGTTATACATAAACAACTTGAACTCATAAGCCTTCTACACTTAACCAGTCGATCTTTGTGTGGATTGGGGAACACACTCAAAGTAAAGGCAGTTTGCAAGTCCTCCCTCACTTTTATTTTCTGTCAGATCTCCTCATCGCACCTCTCCAACTAAATGTCAGTGAGGGTGTGGTGGACCTAGGATTCTCACATATTGCTGCTGAGAACATAAAATGATTCATTTATTTTGAAAATAGTTTGGCAACGTCTTAAAAAGTTAGACATACATTTATCATTTGATCCAGGAATTCTACTCCTAGATATTTAGATAAGAGAAAGAAAAGCATATATACCTACAAAGACTTACACATGAATGTTCAAGCAGCTTTATTTGTAATACTTTAAAACTGGAAACAACCCAAATGTCCATCAACAGGTGGAAGGACATAATACTACTTAGCACTTAAAAAAAGAGTGAACATGTCACAACATGGTAATAATTATGCTGGATGAAAGAAGATAAAAGAGAAAGGATACTCTATATTGTCATTTATATAAAGCTCTAGGAAATTCAAACTAATATATGGTAATAGAAAACAGATTAGTGGTTACCTGGTTACTGGGAGAGGTCTAAGTGGGGAGTGGCAGAAGGAAGAGATTACAAAGGGACATGAGACTTTTTGGGGTGACAGACATGCTTAACATCTTGATTGCATTGACAGTTTCACACATGTATACCAGGCTTAAAACTAAGATAAAGTGAGTGAGACTCACTTTTCAGACTCAGGCACAAAATTTAAGTGGGTAAAGGTGGGGGAGGAAAACATTCAGGAATCAAGATAAATAATATTTTAGTGCAATATTGTAAATCTAAATTATTTTTAGAAATGTAATGAACAAAATATTACAGATTTAAATAAAGACAAGATCTGATTCTATACTTGCAGAATGTATTTACTCAACTAACCCTACTCCAAACTCTGGTTCCAATGAAACTCTCTTTATAAAAATAGGTAGATGGCCCACAGGTTATGGTATGTCAACTTGATTTTTTTAAGAAAAAATATTAAAAATGATAAAAAACATCATTTATCTTGATTATCTTTTCGGTGCCCCCCAAAGGGGCATAGTAATAAAATTATACCTGACTGAAAATGAGCTCTCTGCTTTGAGTGAAATGATGCACGGAAAAGTAGATTTCAAAGAGAACTAGTTACATTGAATAGTTAAAATGTCTATTTTGAGATCTATATTTAGATATTATAAACTAGCTGCAAATAACAAGATAGATACTTTAAAAACATCTGTCGTTCATTTAAAAACATGATGCTAAATTTTTCCCAGGAATTAAGGTATACCATTCTGCCATTTCTCACTTTATTAAAAATTACTTAAGCTGACTAAAATTTGCATGGTTAATCTGACATTTTATTTATCATTTTGGAAGTATTTAGTGACAGTAACTAATCTGTTTAAATGTCATATTGTAGGACAACAACAAGTATTTAAGGATATGACTGCAAGATTTTAAAATCATTTAAGCTGTGGCCAGGCACGATGGTGGCTCATGTCTGTAATCCTAGCACTTTGGGAGGCCGAAGAAGGAGGATCACTTGAGGTCAGGAGTTTGAGACCAGCCTGGCCAACATGGTAAAACCCCATCTCTACCAAAAAAGAGTACAAAAATTAGCCAGATGTGGTGGCACACGCTGTAGTCCCAGCTACTTGGAAGTCTGAGGTGAGAGGATCAGTTGAGCCCAGAAAGTTGAGGCTGCAGGTAGCTATGATAGCACCACTGCACTCCAGCCTAGGCAACAGAGTGAGAATCTGTCTCAAAAATAAATAAATAAATGAAATAATTTAAGCTGAAATAGTTGAAAGGAAGAATGGAAATGAAGATATTCATATTTTTAAAAATAGCAATAAAGTTCTGTGACCAACTGAATATAATAGGAAGAAGAAAAGTTTGATGGCTTTGAGGACACACTTGGGAACTAGACACATTGGGTTAGAACCTCAAAGCTCACAGCTTGATCGGTTTCTCTCTAGCTGTGTGACTTGGAGTAAGCGACTTAACCTCTCTGAGCCTCTTTTCTTTATCTAAAATATGGGGTTGTTAACAGGATTTATAAGTTTGTAATGTTGCTTCAATATCATTATGAACATAAAGTGTTTAGCTTAGGGCCTGACACAAATGAACTACTCAATGGAAAGTAGTTGTTATTATTACTAAAATATTAGATAACAGAGAAAGCAAGTAAGAAAGGCAAACAAGCTTGCGATAAGGAAATCCGGTGATTTATTATACTCAGGAACAATAGCATTTGCAAGGGAGAATAATATGATGAAAGCATAAACAATGACTTCAGGAGAAGCCATGATGCCCATGTCATAGTTTAATGGTAACAAACACAGGCAAAGGACAGGACTCTTGAGCAAATTAACATTTGCTCCATGTGCCTTAGCCCAGGAAGGTTTTGAGAAGCACAAAAACATATTGACATGTGAGTTTTAAGTAGGAAGTACCTAGGTTATCTTACTTTGAAAAGTGTAAGATAGAGATGGTTCCAAATACAAACTTTCTTGCACACACCAGTCCTTGCATCAGCAGCATGGTCATAGTGGCTTTGATGTCTGTGAGTTTTGTTTGTATAGACAATGACAAGAAGTCCAATTTGGCATGTTTTGATCTCTGGTGTCTTACAAAATCCAAAATATCATCGACAGTATGTGTAATGCTGTATTTATCATGGTTTCTCAGGAACTTAATTATAAAAATCTGTTGTTTTTCTGTTAGCTTTAAAATGAATGAAACCCTGGGATGGAGGAAGAATAAAGGAAACATTAATGGGTTGGGTGTCAGCATGCATTATAGTAACACAATGTCATGCTGGTCTTTTTAATTACAGTAGAAACTCAGTTTATCACATTCACAGTGCTTAATTCATGGCTATGGATATATACTTCACAGTGAGGATGAAATCAGGCCAATCAGCCAGTATTCGCAGGTCTGTAAGGATTCCTGATTTTCATACAAAGACCTAAGTTTTGGTATATGAAAAATTTAGAACATCCAAAACTCCCAATGAAAGCATTCTGTGGATACATTCACAGTTGAAGTAAGGTGGTTGGATTATTTCTGTTTATGGTTAACAAATATTTAAGGAAATGGCAATATTATATTGTTAACCTTTCCCAGAGAATTTTGCAATAGTTAACTAATGGCTTTTTCGTTTGACTAATCACCTCTAGGGCCAAAGCAATGGAAATACACTACTCAGATTAATACTCTTCTAACATAAGATACCACATAAAAATGAGAATGCAAGAACTGTAGTACATTGCCCAAAAGTCCAAGATGATAAAGAATAAGAAGTGCAAATATTCTAAAGTCTGTTCTTCTCTTTATATGTCACTTCTTTCTGACACATACAGGTTATTGTACAGTATTTTTGTAAATGGCTTTTATGTTTAACAAAAATTCAAAAATAAGTTTAACAAGTTAAATAATTATTGTGAACATTATTATAAATCATCTCAAATATCTAATTTTCATGGCAAATACGCAGAGATTTTATATTACCCTGGTAAATGTGTATTAAAAAAGGGTTTTGTTAAACTCTTTTGCTACTTTTTTTATTCATTGGCTACAGCAATATAAACTCAACATGTTTAAAGCAAGCCCTATTATTCTCATACGATCTCACAAAACAGAGTTCTATGTGATCAAAATAAGCAGCTTTTATTTATTTTTTATAAACTTATTTTTTGACAGAGTCTCCCTTTGTCACCCAGGCTGTAGTGCAGTGGCACAATCTCAGTTCATTGCAACCTCCACCTCCCAGGTTCAAGCAATTCTCATGCCTCAGCCTCCTTAGCTGGAACTACAGGTGCATACCACCATGCCTGGCTAATTTCTTTGTATCTTTAGTAGAGACAGGGTTTCACCATGTTGGCCAGGCTGGTCTCGAATTCCTCCCAAAGTGCTAGGATTACAGGTGTGAGACACTGCTCCTGGCAGGATCATTAAAATGAGGGTTCAGTGACCAAGACAAATCACATGGCTTTTCTATTTCTATGGCTACTTCTCCTATGATTATGTATGTTTCCATAATAGAAACAATTAAGAAATATAAAATAAGTATTAAGGGCAACTAGAAATAGAAAGTAGAGAGAGTGAAGATGATGCTGTCTTTATCTCAACATCTTAACAATGAAGCTGGTGGCAATAGGTTTTGGGATAAGAATGTATGTGTTCATAAACCTAGAAGAAATCATCTAATTCTCCTTTACGGACTCTGCATATGGTCCTATCCTATCAGCCTGGACTTTATCTGTTGCTCTGCCAGTATCTTACCAATCTGTTTCCAAGAAATAAATCACGTCACCCTCAATATGCTCAGAAAAATTATTTTTAAAATTATACTTTTAAGTGTGTTTCTATTTGTAAAACAATGGTAACAATTTAAATTAAGATTATAAGATAAATATTTAAAAATAGAGATTACCTGGGAAGTAACATCAGCAAAGTGATGGGATAGGAAACCCCATGTTTCTCTCTCCACCACAGAAAGTTCAACTAACAACCATACACAGACAAGAATGCTTCGGTGAAAACCCCAAAACTTAGAAATAGGCCTGAGATGCCCACATGGATCACAGAACTGAATAAAAACCACATTAGAAGAGTAAGAAAAATGGTTTCACTTCGACTTTGTTGCCCCTCCCACTCCCTCAAGTTGACACAATGCCTCACAAGGAAATTCTCCAGTGTCCATGGTTTAGACAGGGGTAAAAGAAAATTGGAAACAGACATCCAACTTCCCTAGCATTCCAAGGGGCCTCTCAGGAATCCCACTTCAATCTCACCTTACAGGAAACACAGAGGGTAACAGCCTGGCTAAACTGCCTGTGGTCAGATAAAAACAAAGAAAGGAGGCACTGCTCAAAGTGACTAGCATGCACATCTTGGTGGTAGCTCCATGTTACTGCTAGCAGAGGTGTCAAATCAGAAATATGGTGACATAGCCCACGCACAAGGACAAGCTGGTCACTTACAGAAATATAGTGAAAAGTTCAATCTGGCTTGAATTTCTAGACTACTAGCTTCCACGCCTAGCCTCATACCATATCCCAAGTTCTGGCCCAGAGAAGGAGATGCCTGCCACAGAGTATTTCACCAAAGCACTGAATATAAACTTGTGCCATCCAGGGATTTAAATGCTGGCTTGGCTCAGCATTGAAGTCCACCTCAAGACGCCACAGCCTGAAACAGTACTTTTCAGTAAAGCACAGGGGCTAGACTTGTGCCACCTGGGCCTTCAAATAGCAGCTCAGCTCATTTTCAAATACCACTCAAAGGCTTTACCCAGGCAAAAAGGCAAACCTCAACCATGCCTTTCTACTGAGCATAGCAGGTGGTCTCAATTATACCAAGCAGTAATTCTGCTTAACCTCAGGATCTAATCTGCCTCCCTGCTCAAATTTAAGAACTCAAATGGCAGTACCACTGTACTAAGAAATATGTCATGCATTCTGTCACTATTAGAGGCAATTTCAGTGTCTAACCAGTAGCTCTAATTGCAGAATGTAGTCAATGGTCTCATGAGACAGCAAAGCTCAGCTAGCAGCCACATCTGACCTCAGAGCAAAGGTGGTGGCTCAGCAAGCTAGAGAACCCAACAGCAAGCTCTGCCTACCTGGTGCCATTATCAGTTGGCCCATCTAGAATCAAATACTAGAATTAATAGTAAAGGTATAGCCTTGCCAAAAATGTCTGTAAGGACTAAAAGAGGTGGATGTCTCCTCAAATGCACATATACTAATGTAAAAACATAAAGATTATAAAGAATCATGGAATCATGCCATCTTCAAAAGATGGTGGCCTCTAAAGAAATGAACATCTATAAAATAATTACAAAAACAGTTTTAAGATCTATAAAATAAATGACAATAACAGTTCTCTTAGGGAAGTTCAGTGAATTTAAAAGATATAAAAATATATGGAAAGGTAAATAAAACTTGGAAATCAGTCACAAATAAAATGAAGCATTGGAAAAAAATTGAAACAGTAAAAATAGAAATCCTGGAGATGAACACAATGACTGAACTAAAAAATGTAATAGCTTCAACAGAAGGTTTGATCAAGCAGAAGGAAAAGTCATTGAGCTCAAGACTGAAATTTGACAGAAACATTTGAAATTATTCAGTCAGAGGAGCAAAAAGAAAAAAGAATGAAAAAGAAAACAGAAAGCCTATGAATTTATGGCACACCATCCAGAGCACTTAACATTCACTTAATAGAATTACCTGAAGGAGAAGAGGGAGAGAAAAAGAGCCAAAAATTATATTTTTAAAACTAATAGCTAAAAACTTCTCAAATCTAGGGGAAAATGCCATCATTCAGATAGAAGAAGTATAGACATCTCCAGTAAATTCAATGAAAGGAAGAGTTTATCAAGGCATAGTAATCAAACTATCAAAAATGAGAGACAAAGAATAATTCTGAAAGCAGCAAAAGATAAGGAACATACCATATAAAGGGAGTCCCAGTGCAGTTATCAGCAGATTTCTCAGCAGAAATACTGCAGGCCAGGAGAAACTGGGATGATAATTCAAGTTACTAAAGGAAAACTAAATCTGTAAACCAAGAATAGTTTACCTGGCAAAGCTTTCCTTCAGAAGTGAGAGAGAATAGAAAGTTTATCAGACAAACAGAAGCTGAGAGAGCTCATCATCACTTGGTTTGCCTTGCAGGAATTACTTAATCTAGTTCTCAAAGCTGAAAAACAAAAACAAAAACAAAAATTATTTCACTAATTAATAACATAAAATGTACAAAAATACAAAAATCAATGATACAAGTAACATATATTCATAGTCAAATACTCTATGTCTGAAATGGTGGTATGTAAAGGAATTTTAATTCTAGTATACTGGTTAAAGGATAAAACTGCTAAAAACTATGGCAAAATAAATTATGAAAAACAAATGATAAAATTATGTAATATTGACATCAAAAATCAAATTAAGGGAAAATAAAAAGAAAGAGTTGTTAGATATGATCAAAGTTAAGTGGTGTTTAGCTTGAAATAGCCTAAGTCTGAGATACTTAATGTAAGCCTCATAATAGCACATCTATAGATGTGCAAAATATAAATAGAAAGAATTCAAAGCATACTTACAAAAACCATCAAACCATCAAACCAAAAAACTATCAAAGCACAAAGGAAGGTAGCATGAAAGAAAAAAAACAAACTATATTCCAAACAACCAGAAAACAAATCATGAAATGGTAGTAGTAAGTCTTTACCTGAAAATAATAGTTTTGAATGTTAAATGGATTAAATTATCCAATTAAAAGGCATAGAGTGGCTGAATGGATTTTGTTTAAAAGACCCTACTATAAGTTGCCTGCAAGAGAGTTACCTCACCTTTAAAGATGCACATAGACTGAAAGTGAAAGAAAGAAAAAGGATATTTCATGCAAATGAAAATCAACAGAGAGCAGAGGTAGATGTATTTATATCAGACACAATAGATATTAAGCCAAAAACTATAAAACAAGACAGAGTTATTATGTGAGGAAAAAGGGGTCAGTTCATTAAAAGGATATAACAATTGTAATAAATTTGCACCCAACATTGGAGTACTTAAAGCAAATATTAACAGAACTGAAGGGAGAGATAGACTACAATACAATAATGGCAGTGGACTGCAATATTCCATTTTCAACAGTGAACAGATCTTTCAGATAGAAAATTAAAAAGGAAACTTTGGATTTGAATATACTTTAGATCAAATGGACCTAGAAGACATATACAAAAAATTCCATCCAATAGCAAAAAAAAAAATACACATTTTTCTCAAGGGCACATGGAACTTTCTCTAGGATAGATCATATGTTCGGGCACAAAACAAGTCTTATAAATTTAAGAGGATTGAAATCATATCAAAATTTTTTATCATAATGATATGAACTAGAAATCAGTAACAGGAGAAATCTTGCATAATTTACAAATACATAGAAATTAAAGAATATGTTACTGAATAATCAATGGGTCAAAAAGAAGCCAAATGGGAAATAAAAAATATATTGAGACAAATGAAAATGAAAAAAGCAACATAACAAAATATACAAGATAAAGTAAAAGCAGACCTAAAGGAAAATTTATAGCAATAAATGCCTATACCAAAAAAGAAAAAATTAAGTAAACAATAGAAAAAAAAACCCATGATTTGACTTTTGAAAAATTAAATAAAATCAACACTTAGTAGACTAAGAGAAAAGAGAGAAACAAATTAATAAAATGAGAAATGAGAAAAAAGATATAACAACTGATACCACAGAAATACAAAAACTGAGATTAATGTGAACAATTATAAGTCAACAAACTGAATAACCTGGAAGAAATAGTTAAATATATACATATACAGAGCCTACCAACAGTGAATCAAGGAGAAATAAAAAATCTGAACAGAACTTTAACAAGTAAAGTGGAATCAGTAATAAAAAACTCTTCCATCTAATAAAAGCCCAGCATCTGATGGCTTCAGAGGTGAATCCTATCAAATATTTAAAGAACTAGGCAGGGCGTGGTGGCTCACACCTGTAATTCCAACACTTTGGGAGGCTGAGGCAGGTGGGTCACTTGAGGTCAGGAGTTTGAGACCAGCCTGGCCAACATGATGAAACCATCTCTACTAAAAATACAAAAATTTGCTGGGCATGGCGGTGGGTGCCTGTAATCCCAGCTACTTGCAAGGCTGAGGCAGGAGAATCTCTTGAACCTAGGAGGTGAAGGTTGCAATGAGCTGAGATCATGCCACTGCACTCCAGCCTGGGTGACAGAGGGAGACTCTGTCTCAAAAACCAACAAACAAACAAGCAAAAAAACTAACACCAATCCTTCTCAAACTATTCCAAAAACTTGAAATAGAGGAAATACTTCTGAGCTCTTTATGATACCAGAATTACCTTGATACTAAAACCAAAGAAAGACTCAAGAAAAAGAAAGTACAGGCCAATATTTCTCATAAATATAGATGCAAAAATCTTTAAAAAAATCAGCAAAGTGAATTCAACAGTTCATTTAAAGGATAATTCATCAAGATCAACGAGAATTTATCCCAGTGATGCAAATATGGTGCAACATGTGCAATCTATTATTGCGATACACTACATTAACAGAATGAAGGATAATTTTTTTTTTGAGACAGAGTCTCACTCTGTCACCCAGGCTGGAGTGCAGTGGCATAATCTCAGCTTACTGCAAACTCTGCCTCCCGGGTTCATGCCATTCTCCTGCCTCAGCCTCCCGAGTAGCTGGGACTACAGGCACCCGCCACCATGCCCGGCTAATTTTTTGTATTTTTAGTAGAAATGGGGTTTCACCGTGTTAGCCAGGATGGCCTCGATCTCCTGACATCGTGATCCACCCGCCTTGGCTTCCCAAAGTGCTTGGATTACAGGCGTGAGCCACTGCACCTGGCCGAAGGATAAAAATCTTACAGTCATCTCATTAGAAGCAGAAAAACATTTGACATATTCAGCATTCTTTCATGATAAAAACTCTCAAGGAAATATATGCAGGAATATATTTAGCCACAAAAGTGAAAAATTTACACACTGACCTCCATAAAACATTGATGGAAGAAATGTAAGAAGACACAAATAAAGGGAAAGATGTGTCATGTTTATGAACTGGAACGGTTAACATTGTCTCAATGTGCATACTAACCAAAGTATTCTACAGATTCAATGCAATCCCTATCAAAACTCCAATGTCAGATGGGTGCAGTGGCTCACATCTGTAATACCAGTATTTTGTGAGGCCAAGGTGGTAGGATTTCTTGATCCCAGAAGATTGAGACCAGCTTGGGCAACATGGCAAAACATGATTTCTACAAAAAGAAAAAAAGAAAAGAAAATTAGCTGGGCATGGAGGCACATGCCTGTAGTCCCAGCTACTCCAGAGGCTTATGCAGGAGGTTCCCTTGAGCCCAGGACACTGAGGCTGCAGTGAGTCATGTTCACACCACTGTACTCCAGCCTGGAAAACAGAAGGAGACTCTTTCTCAAAAAAAAAAAAAAATCCAATGGTCATTTTTCACCAAAATAGGAATAAACAATTCAAAAATTCATATGGAACCATAAAATCAACAAATAAAGCAATCTTGATCAAAAAGAACAAAGCTGGAGACATCACACTACCTGGCTTCAAGCTATACTGCACAGCTATAGTAACTAAAATTGCATGGTACTATCATCAAAATTGACACACTGATCAGTGGAACAGAATAAAGAGCCCAGAAATAAATCCACGCTTTTATGGTCAATAGATTCTCAACAAAAGTACCAATACCACACAATGAAAAGAACAGTATTTTCAATAAAGGCTGTTGAGAAAACTAGATATACACAAGCAGAAAAAATGGAATTGGATGCTTCTTCTACATCATAACAAAAATTAACTCAAAAGGGATGAATGTTTAAACATAAAACCTGAAACTGTAATAATACCAGCAGAAAACATAAGGGAAAACTACACAACACTGGTCTGTGCAATAATTTTTTTAAAAAATTTGACTCCAAAAAGCTCAGGCAACAAAAGCAAAAATGGACAAATGGAATTACATCAAACTAAAAAGTCTCTATACAGTAAAAAAAATAATTAAGAGTGAAAAGACAACCTACAGATTGAGAGAACATACTTGTAAACCATATATCTGATAAAGCATTAATATCCCAAATACATAAGAAATTTATATTGAGAGGTGACAATGTGCTAGCAGCCCTCACTTGCTATCAGCACCTCCTCAGCCTCAGCGTCCGCTCTGGCCACACTTGAGGAGCCATTCAGCCCACTGCTGCACCGTGGGAGCCTCTCTCTGGGCTGGCGGAGGCCAGAGCTGGCTCCCTCTGTTTGTGGGGAGGTGGGGAGGCTTGGAGGGAGAGGCGTGGGCGGGAACCCGGGCTGCATGCAGCTCTGGCGGGCCAGCGTGACTTCTAGGCAGTGAGGGGCTTAGCACCCGGGCCAGCAGCTGTGGAGGGTATGCGGGGTCCCCCTTCAGTGCCGGCTGGCTGGTGCCGCACTTGAATTCTCACCGGGGCCTCAGCTGCCTCCCCGCTGGGCAGGGCTCGGGACCTGCAGCCTGCCATGCCTGAGCCACCCACTGTGGTAGGCTCCTGTGCAGCCCAAACCTCTGCAGCGCCTGGTCCCATTGACCGCCTAAGGGCTGAGGAGTGCAGGCACGCAGCGTGGGACTGGCAGGCAGTTCTGCCTGCGGCCCTGGCATGGGATCCACTAGACGAAGCCAGCTGGGCTCCTGCATCGGGTGGGGACTTGGAGAACTTTTATGTCTAGCTAAAGGTTTATAAATACACCAATCAGCACCCTGTGTTTAGCTCAAGGTTTGTAAATGCACCAGTCAGTGCTCTGTGTCTAGCTAATCTAGTGGGGACTTGGAGAACCTTCATGTCTAGCTAAAGGATTGTAAACACACCAATCAGCACCCTGTATCTAGCTGAAGGTTTGTAAATGCACCAATAAGTGCTCTGTGTCTAGCTAATCTAGTGGGGACTTGGAGAACTTTTGTGTCTAGCTCAGGGATTGTAAACGCACCAATCAGCACCCTGTCAAAATGGACCAATCAGCTCTCTGTAAAACACACCAATCAGCTCTCTGTAAAATGGACCAATCAGCAGGATGTGGGTGGGGCCAGATAAGGGAATAAAAGCAGGCTGCCCAAGCCAGCAGCGGCAACCCGCTCTGGATGCCTTCCACAGTGTGAAAGCTTTGTTCTTTCACTCTTCGCAGTAAATCTTGCTGCTGCTCACTGTTTGGGTCCGCACTGCCTTTATGAGTTGTAACACTCACCGTGAAGGTCTGCAACTTCACTGCTGAAGCCAGCGAGATCAGGAACCCACCAGAAGGAAGAAACTCCAAACACGTCCAAACATCAGATGGAACAAACTCCAGACACACCATCTTTAAGAACTGTAACGCTCACCGTGAGGGCCCGTGGCTTCATTTTTGAAGTCATTAAGACCAAGAACCCACCAATTTCGGACACAATATGTCAATAGTGAAAAAAAAAAAAAATGAAAAATGAGCAAAGGACCTGAATAGATATTTCTCAAAAGAAGACAAGTAAATTCTCAAAAGATATATGAAAAAGATGCTCCATATCACTAATCATTAGAGAAGTACAACTTAAAACTACAATGGGATCACATAACACTTGTCAGAATGGCTAGTATCAAAAAGATAACAGCAAGCGTTTGCAAGAATATGAAGGAAAAGGAACTCTTGTACACTTTTGGTATAAACGTAAATTAGTACTGCTGTATTAGTCCATTATTATACTGCTATAAAGAACTACCAGAGACTGGGCAATTTATTAATATAAGAAAAGAGGTTTAATTGGCTCACAGTTCTGCATGGCTAGGGAGGCCTCAGGAAACTTACAATCGTGGTGAAAGGAGAAGCAGGCACTTTTTACATGGCAGCAAATGAGAGGAAGCGGAGGGGCAAGAGCCCCTTATAGCAACTTCAGGTCTCATGAGAACACACTCACTATCACAAGAACAGCATGGGGAAAACCACCCTAATGATCCAGTCACCTCCCACCATGTCTCTCTCTCAACCCCTGGAAATTATAACTTGAGCTGAAATTTGGGTGGAGACACATTGCCAAATCATATCAACAGCCATTATAGAAAAATTTATGGAGGCTGATATGGTTTGGCTCTGTGTCCCCACCCAAATCTCATCTTGAATTGTACTCCCATAATTCCCACGTGTTGTGGGAGGGAACCGGTAGGAGATAATTTAAATGATGGTGGCAGTTTCTACCATACTGTTCTCATGGTAGTGAATAAGTCTCACGAGATCTGATGGTTTTATCAGGGCTTTCCATTTTTGCATCTGTCTCACTGTCTCATTTTCTCTTGCCACCACCATGGAGGAAGTTCCTTTGGCCCCCCACCATGATTCTGAGGCCTCCCCAGCCATGTGGAACTGTAAGTCCAAGTAAACCTATTTTTCTTCCCAGTCTCAGGTATGTCTTTATCAGCAGCATGAAAATGAACTAATACAGAGGTCTTCAAAAAAGGAGAAATGCAATTACAATATGATTCAGCAATCCTATTTCTGGGTTTATATCTTAAGACTTGAAATCAGTACGTCAAAGAGATATCTGCACTCCCATGTTCATTGCAATATTATTCACAACAGTTAAAAGAGGAAAACAATTCTTCATACCCATCAACAAATAAATGGATAAAGAAAACATGGTACAGGTTGAGTATCTCTCATCTCAAATGCTTAGGACCAGAAGTGCTTCCAAGTTTGAATTTTTTTTTGGATTTTGGAATACTTGCACATACATAATGAGATACATTGGGAGAGGATACAAGTCTAAGCATAAAATTCACTTATATTACATATAAACATTTTATACATACCTAAAAGTAATTTACACAATATTTTAAATAATTTTACACATAAAACAACATTTGTGTATATTAAACCATCAGGAAGCAAAAGCATCCCTATCTCAGCCATCTATGCAAACAATCTGTGGTTATCCACATCACCATCATTGCTGACTCTGAATTTATAGGCTACTGATAAGCAGTCATTTTTCTCACACTTATTTGCACATAAGTACTTAACAGTAAACAAGTTGACATACCATTAATCCAGTGAAAAAATAATGTGTTCAGCTTAGCTAAGCAACACAGTTGCATCACCAGAATACCTGTATTAGCTGTTAAATAACAGCAACTGCAAACAACAAAAGGATTTTAGTCTCCACCTATAATACTGTGTTTTTATTAACAGGATACTATACAATGTATTTTTTTTAGGTGAGAAAAAACATCAGAAGCAGTTGAGGGACAAGGAGGTGGATCATTTAGAGTTGAGGAGGCATTCAGCCAGAAGGCATTTAAAAATGTTTCCTCCAAAGTCATTTGCCTTATTAACAATTGTATTTGTTGTCAAAGTCTCTCTTTGATTTTATAAACTAATATGATTTCTTGTTTTGTTATGAATGCATACTGCCCTAGTCCTTCAATAAGCTCATTATATATTTGACCATGTAATTAACCTACAGGCACTTCTGCAGTGGTTATCACTGTTAAATGTCATCTTCATTATCACTATTACTACAATCACTTTGACTCAGGATCATTTTGGCTATTTCACCATCAGTCAGTGAATGAACAAGTGGAGCCTAATTTTCTTTTCTTTTTCTTTTTATTATACTTTAAGTTCTAGGGTACATGTGCACAACGTGCAGGTTTGATACATAGGTATACATGTGCCATGTTGGTTTGCTGCACCCATCAACCCATCATTTACATTAGGTATTTCTCCTAATGATATCCCTCTCCCAGGGCCTCAACCCCTGACAGGCCCCAGTGTGTGATTTTCCCCGCCCTGTGTCCAAGTGATCTCATTGTTCAATTCCCACCTATGAGTGAGAACATGTGGTGTTTGGTTTTCTGTCCTTGCGATAGTTTGCTCAGAATGATGGTTGCCAGCTTCATCCATGTCCCTGCAAAGGACATGAACTCATCCTTTTTTATGGCTGCATAGTATTCCAAGGTGTGTTAAGTGCCACATTTTCTTAATCCAGTATATCATTGATGGACATTTGGGTTGGTTCCATGTCTTTGTTACTGTGAATAGTGCCACAATAAACATACGTGTGCATGTGTCTTTATAGTAGCATGATTTATAATCCTTTGGGCACATACCCAGTAATGGGATTGCTGGGTCAAATGGTATTTCTAGTTCCACATCCTTGAGGAATTGCCACACTGTCTGCCACAATGGTTGAACCAATTTACACTCCCACCAACAGTGTAAAAGCGTTTCTATTTCTCCATATCTTCTCCAGCATCTGTTGTTTCCTGACTTTTTAATGATTGCCATTCTAAGTGGTGTGAGATGGTATCTCATTGTGGTTTTGATTTGCATTCTCTGATGACCATTGATTATGAGCATTTTTTCATATGTCTCTTAGCTCCATAGATGTCTTCTTTTGAGAAGTGTCTACTCATATCATTTGCCCACTTTTTGATGGGGTTGTTTTTTTCTTGTACATTTGTTTGAGTTCCTTGTAGATTCTGGATATTAGTGCTTTGTCAGATGGGTAGATTGCAAAAATTTTCTCCCATTCTGTAGGTTGCCTGTTCACTCTGATCATGGTTCCTTTTGCTGTGCCGAAGCTCTTTAGTTTACTTAGATCCCATTTGTCAATTTTGGCTTTTGTTGCCTTGATTTTGGTGTTTTAGTCATGAAGTCCCTGCCCATGACTATGTCCTGAATGGTATTGCTTAGGTTTTTTTCTAGGGTTTTTATTGTTTTAGGTCTAACATTTAAGCCTTTAATCTATCTTGAATTAATTTTTGTATAAGGTATAAGGAAGGGATCCAGTTTCAGCTTTCTACATATGGCTAGCCAGTTTTCCCAGCACCATTTATTAAATAGGGAATCCTTTCCCCATTGCTTGTTTTTGTCAGGTTTGTCAAAGATCAGATGGTTGTAGATGTGTAGCATTATTTCTGAGGCCTCTGTTCTGTTCCATTCATCTACATATCTGTTTTGGTACCAGTACCATCCCGTTTTGGCTACTGTAGCCTTGTAATATAGTTTGAAGTCAGGTAGCGTGATGCTTCCACCTTTGTTCTTTTTGCTTAGGATTGTCTTGGCAATGTGGGCTCTTTTGTTCCATGTGAACTTTAAAGTAGTTTTTTCCAATTCTGTGAAGAAAGTCATTAGTAGCTTGATGGGGATGGCATTGAATCTATAAATTACTTTGGCAGTATGGCCATTTTTATGATATTGATTCTTCCTATCCATGAGCATGGAATATTCTTCCATTTGTTTGCATCCTCTTTTATTTTATTGAGCAGTGGTTTGTAGTTCTTGAAGAAGTCCTTCACATCCCTTGTAAGTTGGATTTCTAGGTATTTTATTCTCTTCATAGCAATTGTGAATGTGAGTTCACGCATGATTTGGCTCTCTGTCTGTTAATATTGTATAGGAATGCTTGTGATTTTTGCACATTGATTTTGATCCTGAGCTTTTGCTGAAGTTGCTTATTAGCTTAAGGAGATTTTGGGCTGAGGACAATGGTGTTTTCTAGATATACAATCATGTCATCTGCATACAGGGACAATTTGACTTCCTCTTTTCCTAATTGAATACCCTTTATTTCTTTCTCTTCCGTGATTGCCCTGGCAACACTATATTGAATAGGAATGGTGAGAGAGGACATCCTTGTCTTGTGTCGGTTTTGCAAGGGAATGCTTCCAGTTTTTGCCCATTCAGTATGATATTGGCTGTGGGTTTGTCATAAATAGCTCTTATTATTTTGAGATATGTTCCATCAATACCTAGTTTATTGAGAGTTTTTTAGCATGAAGCGCTGTTGAATTTTATCAAAGGCCTTTTATGCATCTACTGAGATAGTCATGTGGTTTTTGTCATTGGTTCTGTTTATGTGATGGATCTCATTTATTGATTTGCATATGTTGAACCAGGCTTGCATCCCAGGGATGAAGCCAACTTGATTTTGGTGGATAAGATTTTGATGTGCTGCTGGATTCAGTTTGCCAGTATTTTATTGAGGATATTCGCATCGATGTTCATCAGGGATATTGGTCTAAAATTCTCTTTTTTTGTTGTGTCTCTGCAGGCTTTGGTATCAGGATGTTGTTGGCCTCACAAAATGAGTTAGGGAGGATTCCCTCTTTTTCTATTGATTGGAATAGTTTCAGAAGGACTGGTGCCAGCTGTGCTTTGTACTTCTGGTAGAATTCGGCTGTGAATCTGTCTGGTCCTCGACTTTTTTTGTTGGTAAGCTATTAACTATTGCCTCAATTTCAGAGCCTGTTATTGGTCTATTCCGAGATTCAGCTTCTTCCTGGTTTAGCCATGAGAGGGTGTTTGTGTCCAGGAATGTGTCCATTTCTTCTAGATTTTCTAGTTCATTCGCATAGAGGTGTTTATAGTATTCTCTGACGGTAGTTTGTATTTCTGTGGGATTGGTGGTGAGATCCCCTTTATCATTTTGTATTGCATCTATTTGATTTTTCTCTCATTTCTTCTTTATTATTCTTGCTAGCAATCTATCAATTTTGTTGATCTTTTCAAAAACCAGTTCCTGGATTCACTGATTTTTGAAGGGTTTTTTGTGTCTCTACCTCTTTCAGTTCTGCTCTGATCTTAGTTATTTCTTTCCGTCTGCTAGCTTTTGAATTTGTTTGCTCTTGCTTCTCTAGTTCTTCTAATTGTGATGTTAGGGTGTCGATTTTAGATCTTTACTGCTTTCTCTTGTGAGCATTTAGTGCTATAAATCTCCCTCTACACACTGCTTTAAATGTGTCCCACAGATTCTGGTACTTTGTGTCTTTGTTCTCATTGGTTTCAAAGAACATCTTTATTTCTGCCTTCATTTCATTATTTACCCAGTAGTCATTCAGGAGCAGGTTGTTCAGTTTCCATGTAGTTGCATGGTTTTGAGTGAGTTTCTTAATCCTGAGTTCTAATTTGATTGCATTGTGATCTGAGAGGCAGTTTGTTGTGATTTCTGTTATTTTACATTTGCTGAGGAGTGCTCCATTTCCAATTATGTGGTCAATTTTACAGTAAGTGTGATATGGTGCTGAGAAGAATGTATATTCTGTTGATTTGGGGTGGAGAGTTCTGTAGATGTCTGTTAGGTCTGCTTGTTACAGAGCTGAGTTCAGGTCCTGGATATCCTTGTTAACCTTCTGTCTCATTGATCTGTCTAATATTGACAGTGGGGTGTTAAACTCTCCCATTATTATTGTGTGAGAGTCTAAGTCTCTTTGTAGTCTCTAAGGACTTGCTTTATGAAACAGGGTGCTCCTGTATTGGGTGCATATATATTTAGGATAGTTAGCTCTTCTTGTTGAATGGATCCCTTTACCATTATGTAATGTCCTTCTTTGTCTCTTTTGATCTTTGTTGGTTTAAAGTCTGTTTTATCAGAGACTAGGATTGCAACCCGTGCTTTTCTTTTTTTTTTTTTTTTTGCTTTCCATTTGCTTGGTAGATCTTCCTCCATCCCTTTATTTTGAGACTATGTGCGTCTTTGCACATGAGATGGGTCTCCTGAATGCAGCACACTGATGAGTCTTGACTCTTTATCCAATTTGCCAGTCTGTGTCTTTTAATTGGGGCATTTAGCCCATTTACATTTAAGGTCAATATTAACAAGCAATTTGATCCTGTCATTATGATGTTTGCTAGTTATTTTGCCTGTTAATTGATGCAGTTTCTTCATAGCATCAACGGTCTTTACAATTGGGTCATTTTTGCAGTGGCTGGTACCAGTTGTTTCTTTCCATGTTTAGTGCTTCCTTCAGGAGCTGTTTTAGGGCAGGTCTGGTGGTGACAAAATCTCTCAGCATTTGCTTGTCTGTAGGGGTTTATTTCTCCTTCACTTATGAAGCTTAGTTTGGCTGGATATGAAATTGTAGGTTGAAAATTCTTTTCTTTAAGAATGTTGAATATTGGCCCCCACTCTCTTCCTGCTTGTAGGGTTTCTGCTGAGAGATCTGCTGTTAGTCTGATGGGCTTCCCTTTGTGGGTAACTCAACCTTTCTCTCTGGCTGCTGCTAACACTTTTTCCTTCATTTCAACCTTGGTGAATCTGACAATTATGTGTCTTGGGGTTGCTCTTCTCAAGGGGTATCTTTGTGGTGTTCTCTGTATTTCCTCAATTTGAATGTTGGCCTGCCTTGCTAAGTTGGGGAAGTTCTCCTCGCTAATACCCTGAAGAGTGTTTTCCAACTTGGTTCCATTCTCCCTATCACTTTCAGGTACCAATCAAATGTAGATTTGGTCTTTTCACATAGTCTCATATTTCTTGGAGGCTTTGTTCATTTTCTTTTAGTCTTTTTTTCTCTAACCTTGTCTTCTCACTTTATTTCATTAATTTGATATTCAATCACTGATACCCTTTCTTCCACTTGATCGATTTCACTATTGAAGCTTGTGCATGCGTCACAAAGTTCTTGTGCCATGGTTTTCAGCTCCATCAGATCATTTAAAGTCTTCTCTACACTGTTTATTCTAGTTAGCCATTTGTCTAATTTTTTTTCAAGGTTTTAAGCTTCCTTGAGATGGGTTCAAGCATCCTCCTTTAGCTCAGAGAAGTTTGTTATTATCGACCTTCTGAAGCCTACTTCTGTCAACTCATCAAAGTCATTCTCCATCCAGCTTCATTGCATTGCTGGTGAGGAGCTATGATCCTTTGGAGGAGAAGAGGCACTCTGATTATTAGAATTTTCAGCTTTTCTGCTCTGTTTTCTCCCCATCTTTGTGGTTTTGTCTACCTTTGGTCTTTGATGTTGGTGACCTACAGATGGGGTGTTGGTGTAGATGACCTTTTTGTTGATGTTGATGCTATTCCTTTCTGCTTGTTAGTTTTCCTTCTAACAGGTCCCTCAGCTGCAGGTCTGTTGGAGTTTGCTGGAGTTCCACTCCAGACCCTGTTTGCCTGGGTATCACCAGCGGAGGCTGCAGAACAGCAAATATTACAGAACAGCAAATATTGCTGCCAGATCCTTCCTCTGGAACTTCATCCCAGAGGGGCAGACGCCTATATGAGGTGTCTGTTGGACCCTACTGGGAGGTGTCTCCCAGTTAAGCTACACGGGGGTCAGGGACCCTTCAGGAGGCAGTCTGTCCATTCTCAGAACTCAAACGCCGTGCTGGGAGAACCACTGTTCTCTTCAGAGCTGTCAGACAGGGACGTTTAAGTCTGCAGAAGTTGTCTGCTGCCTTTTGTTCAGCTATGCCCTGTCCACAGAGGTAGAGTCTAGAGGCAGTAGGCCTTGTTGAGCTGCAGTGGACTCTGCCCAGTTCAAGCTTCCTGGCTGTTTGTTTATCTACTCAAGCCTCGGCAATTACGGACACCCCTCCCCCCGCCAGGCTGCAGCCTCACAGAATGATCTCAAACTGCTGCACTAGCAGTGAGCAAGGCTTTGTGGGTGTGGGACCTGTCAAGTCAGGCACGGGAGAGAATCACCTTGTCTGCCGGATGTTAAGACCTTGGGAAAAGCTCAGTATTTGGATGGGGAGTGTCCTGTTTTTCCAGGTAGTCTGTCACCACTTCCCTTAGCCAGGAAAGGGAAATCCCCCAACCCCTTGGGCTTCCCAGTTGAGGCAACACCCTGGCCTGCTTCAGCTCGCCCTCCTTGGGCTGTACCCACTGTCCAACCAGTCCCAAGAAAATGAACCAGGTACCTCAGTTGGAAATGCAGAAATCACTCATCTTCTGCGCCAAACATGCTGGGAGCTGCAGACCAGAGCTGTTCCTATTCGGCCATCTTGGAACACCCCCTGAGCCTAATTTTCAATGTTACAAACTTCAATATCACTTCTTCTGGCTTACTGAAGGACTCGGAATGTATTTTTTTTTTCTTTTGCATAGATAAGAATGTCAGACATCATTTATTTCTCACTTAACATATGGAATCCTTCGAAGTCACCACCTTGTTCATCATCATCACTGAACACAATCACAGGCCAGAGGTTGTTCCAGGCATGCCCAACTGTGTCATTGTGTTCAAAGTGTTGGCAACAACATGTATGGTATCCTTTCGTATTTACTATTTATTGATCTAAGGGTACCCTCTTTTATGGCTGAATAATTGAATTCAAATTTGGGGAAAGTACATGCCATAAACATTACTTTTTATGAGTATTTCAGCTGGAGGATGAACAGAACACTTGTTGAAGAATAACAAAATCTTATAGTCATCATTCAGTCCTGTTTTCTTGCAGTAAGCATGAGCTGCTGATACAAAATGTATGTGAAAACAATAATGAAAGATGTCCGTGGTGATTCATGCCTTTTTGTTAGCATCATAATTGACTGGCAGACATTTGCTCCTTGGACACAACAAGCATGCACATTTGAACCTATCACAAGTTTACTTATGCATGCCTGCTGCATTAGCACAGCCTAGCACAGTTATTCTGTCTTTGGCATCCTTAACTCTTGTAGGGGCTGGCTCATCAGCAGTAGTCAGTGTCTTTTTGGGCAATAACATGAAAACGGTGATGTTTCATTAGCACTATAGACTTGTCTTGGCATCAGATTTTCACCAGCAATAATCTTGACAAACTTGTCAATGGATATTCCCACTGCTTTGTGTTCAGCAGCTGCTTTATCATCACAAATCTCTAAACGAGTAATGCCGTGTGTTTTTTTAATTCTGCAGCTAGACTCTTGAGTATTCACAGCTCCCTTTAACTTTCAGTTTATCATGATAGATCTCTGCTTGTTTGTTTCATGATCAGCGTACTATTAAATGGGATGTGTTCATTACAATGATGATAGATCTAATTTTTCAATACCTGATCCAGATCTTAATCATAAAATAAGACCTTCCTTTTTAGCTTTATACAGTGCCTTTCTATTTTTTATTAATTTCTGTTCATCTTTTTCACCATAGAACTTTAACAATTTATCCTTATGTTTTTTCAGGTATATATGATGACCATAGTCTTCTGTAAGATGTTTCACACTTAAAGCAACTATCAAGTTTCAATGGCAGCTTGACTTTTTGTGTTTTATCTTTTTCTTACCACTGTTACCTACAGGGGTTTCTGCAGGCCTTTTAAACATTTTTAACAATATCTTTACACCACAGAGCAGAAAATAAACAGCAACAAAAAAATCACAATGAGTAACGCACGTAGATCTCGGCCCTATGTCAGGTATCATGGTGGTGAACTTGTTGTTGGCATGTTGAGGCTACACACGTGCCATTTTAGTACCCTTTGTGGGTGTGCTTGCATGGGGGAATCTGTGCATATGTGGAAAAGATATTTCACACCTGAAGGGGGCAGGGAAAATCTTTTCTCTTGGGGATGCTGAGTAAACTGTGTTTTGTGTGTCTGCAGTTTGACTGTGATTTGTCACATGAGGTCAGGTGTGGAATTTTCCACTTGTGGCATTATATGACTGGCCAAAAGTTTTGAATTTTGCAGGTTTTCAGTTTTCACATTTTCAGAGTATGGATTATCATCCTGTATATATGCATAATGGAGTACTATGCAGTCTTAAAAAAAGAAAGAACATTCTGTCATTAAGAACAATATGGATGAACCTGGAGGACATTATGCTTAATGAAATAAGCCAGGCACAGAAAGACAAAGACTGCATGTTGTCACTTATATTTGGAATCCAAAACAATTGAGCTCTTAGAAGCAGGGAGTAGAATAGTGGTTACCAAAAGTTTGGGGTATATGAGAATGTGGAGATGTTGATCAAAGGGTACTAAGTTGCAGTTGGTCAGGAGGAATAAATAAGTATTTAAGGTTAAAAAATGTGAAATTAATTAATGTTGCATATCAAATAATATTCCTTCTGTATGCGTTGGATTGGAAGTCTTTGGTGTCTTTGTTTTCATCCACTTTTGCAAATGAAATTCATTCAGCTACTCTGTAAAGCATGAAGCTATTATTGACTTCTGTGAATTGAAGCTCAGTGAAATTAATAGCTGAAAGATTTTCCCAGAACAACTTTCATATCTTGCCTGAATATGTATTTCTGCCTGACTTGTATTTTCATCTTATCTTCATTGTTCAGAAACTGATTCTTCAGAAATGACCCACAAAACCACTTTTACTAAAATTACTTTCATCTTCCTCAAGCAATTTTGAAGTACTTTAGTCACAATCTCAAAAAAAGCCATTTTTTATAAGTAAAAAAAAAAATAGAGACAGCTTACTTAATTATTGAATCTGAATTGATTGGGTTGTGGGAAAAGAAGCATTTTAGATTAAGTCATGTAAACTACTTCTGAGGAAGGTACACATGAGACAGATTTATTATCTATAAATAAAATTATTATAACTTGAACCCATGAGAAATATGGAAATCAAGTATGTGCAGTACTTTGAATCCCTATGTGTTTATCCAACAGATGCCTACTATATTCACAATAATTATTGCTGCATATGAGATAAAATGATAAATTAGACATGGCCTCTGTTTAATAAGATGTAGAAAATTTTGAAGAAAATATAATGTTTTTAAAAATTTCTAAATAATTTGTCTTCATGAACAATATGCTATCCATTCATTGATACAACTGGTTATAAGACAGGAAGAAAAGGTTGGATTCTTAAATTCAAAGGGTTTTATATGTAAGGCAGTAAATTAATACTAATCGTGTGCTAATTAAAAATAATAAGGCATGACAAAATTTGCCATTTCTACTAAAAATAGTTTAAATATAAAGAAGAGAGAAAAAGAGCAAACATTTACTCAATGTTAATTATTATGTTATCTCATTTAATTATTTTGTATATTACAAAACTAAGTTTTAAAAAGTCAAATAATTGTTCACAGTGACAGTAATAGTAATCAATGGAGCAGGAATTAAAATTAATTAAAATTAATATACTGGAATGATAAAATTGAACGAGAATATAATTCTCAAATATCCAACCTTGTCAAACTGGGCTATTTGTATATTAATTTTCTGTATCCTCTTTATGGGGCCTTTGTACACTGTGACAGCCAATAATGTAGTACATTATGGGTGAGCAGAAGGATGAAGAACCTTTAGATAACTTTGGGAACTTTCCCAGCACTGGCAAGTCATGATAAACACCTGCATCGAAATGCCATTACAGGATTTTACTATAGAGTTGGTCACTTAAAGGGCAGTACAAGTATGGAAAAGAAAGAGGTATTTTTAACATCTAGGGATATGAATGTTCAGCTAGATTATTAACTTTGATTTATAATTTTCCTAGAGTATGTTTTAAAAAAGAAAGTAAAGACTATTACTGAGTAGGGAGACATGATGCCTTTTACCTTCTTCTGTACAGTAATTTGATAGTTTTTATTACATCTAATTTATTGACCAGCTATTCACTCTTCCTGAGAATAGAACAAGATGAACTTGGCTGAATAAATTAGACTTTGTGGTAAGCAAAATAACGGCCCCCTAAAGATCTCCAGAATAACTTAAATTCATAAGAAATATGGATGTCAAGTATGTGCAGTGTTTTGAAGGCCTTTGTGTTCATCCAATACATACCTACTATATGAACAATAATTATTAGATGTATAGGAGATAAACTCCATATGAGTTCTAAGTCAGAAAGATACAGCATCAAAAGAGTTTGATTCACTGTTGCTGACTTTGTAGCTGGAGGAAGGGGGCCAGGAGACAAGAAAGGGAAGTAGCTCTAGAAGCTAGAAATGGCAGGAAATGAATTATTCCCTAGAGTGCACAGAAAGAAATCAGCCCTGCCCACACCTCGGTTTAAGCCCAGTGAGATGCATATTATACTTCAGACCTACATAACTGTAAATAATAAATTTGTATTGTTTTAAATTACTAAGTTTGTGATAATTTCCTAAAGCAGCAAAAGAAATATAAATAACAGCAAATATATGAAATAGATTGATAAATAAATAATAGATCAATAGGTTGATAAATATGCTAAACATAAACAAAAGAAGCAAAAGTAATATTCACTGTATTTCTTGCACAGTGCAATGGTGAATCCACAAAAAATACAAAATATAACCTTTAAACAATGGTTTACCTTGCAAAAGGGTATAAGGCTTCCTTACTTGAAGCAACTAGAACATAATGCATGTTATTGAGTATCCAAGTGCTAACTTGTGTGATTCTGAGAAAATATATTTCAGAGAAAGGTGCATTTGAAAATCGACATGAGCCCATGACTTGAGAAAGGAAATATGAGTGTCATATGGAAAATATGAGAAATATACTATTGACAGAATTGACCATGGATACTTATGAAAATTAGCATTAAAAAGTTTTGAATTCTCATTTCTTTACAATTCTTTTAGATTACAGATGAAGAGAAGGTTTTTTCTCAAACTGGACAACTTGCTTTGATTGATAGTGAGGCCCTGAAGATTTAGGATCGAATCTGACACTTCATATGAACTCAGAGGACATGGTCCCAGGATCATAGGAAAAAGGAAGGTTTTTCATGCTTTGTCTGAATATTGCCAGGGCTTATGTTCAGCCAATATTCAACAGTGGATACAATATAGCACTATATTTAACTATGTCAAGTATTCAAGTTGATAAAAAGTGGTTCCTTAACCCCCTTAGTGCCTCACTACTTCCTTGATCACCCGGCTTCTAACTAGGGCCCTGAACTATCTCTAATCCAGCAACTATAGGACTAACATATGGCACTGTGGTTATACTGGTTGTTATAAATTTTAAAGACTATATTGAATGAAGGTAAGGTGATATGCTAAATGATTTTTCAAGGTATGTTTGAATCCTACATTCATGTGATAACTAGAACAAATAGAGTATACATACTTGGTTAAAAGAACATATTGACTTATGTTTCTAGGTATAATTTATTTGGGATCAAGTAAAGAAGTAGCTAAATTACATTTACTTCTCAAAAAAAGCCTATTGATTACTAGCATGGCAAAGCTCCTGACACAATTACTTTATAAATTGCTTAGCAATGACCTCGCAACAGTAGCAGGAGTTGGCAGATGCATGCCATTGCATTTTCTCAGGCCAAATAGTATAACTTCTTGGCATACTTTGAGAAAATTCTAAAAATGGCATTTTCCATGTACAAAGCAATGAAAATGGAATGCCTTTTCTGTTATCACCATATATGGAATGTGGTAGAGAAAGAAGCAGACATTTAAAATTCACACAAGAGAATTTCAAAGACTTTTCCATCAGCAGTCATGCTGGGAGAATGTGTGACTATACTTCAGTCATGACCATACAAAAATAATTAAATAAGGGATTTGCACCATATCCAGGTACAGCTGCTGTTCTCATCTATGCTTTTATCTATGAGGCCACGGTTGACTTATTGAACTAGCAAAACCTAACATTTTCTGTAGAAAGTGGACAGACTGCCAGAAATTTACTCTCTGTCTCCCAAACCTATGCAAAATTTATCCATTCCATATGTATACCCGGTCTTTATCCAGATTTTCTATTTTACCTGAAATATTTTATCAGTCTGTACAATGAACTGGTAGAATATGTCTGGAACTTATCGTGTAGACTTTGCTCAGTTCTGAGAAACATTTATCAAAACATCAAGTGAGAATGACCCAGAATTTTATTACTCGATCATACTCTGCCATTAATGATACATAAATTGCATTGTTGTTGAATTAAGATTTGGAATTTTCTTTACTACTGCGTATTAATGTATTTTTGGGCTAGGCAATATGTTAAATTTTAAATAGGAATTAAAAATGTATGTTTACATATTCATATGTATAATTTTGCATTTTAATTCTAGCACCTATTATAATTTGACTTGCATTATAGTTAGTTGTACAAATGTATGTTTTCCTTATGAGACTGAGCTCCTTATGGATAAAGGGCATAGTTTATGCACTTTTGTTTACCAACAATACAGGATTTTTCTTGGAAGAAAATAGTAATCACTTAAGAAATATTTTTTTCAATTGAGTTGAGCTGAACTGAAGGGCTTTTTCAAAGCTTTATGGTACAAATTCTTTTGGGACAACCTTCTACTTTGCTGGCTCTCTGCATTGCTTAGGCAGAGCAATGTGGTTGAGTATAACATTTTTGAAATGATTTTTTTACTGAATTCTAGGCAAAGCAAAATGTATTTTTAGAGATATTGTTGTTGCTTTTCATCTTTTGTTACCATGATATTATTCATAATCTCAAATAGAAAAATATGTTTATAGCTAAATAAATGCCACTTTTTCTTCCGGCCCTCTAGAAAATGTCTAAACACAGAATGATATTCAAGGACATGAGTTGAGCCTAGTGTTTGTTGCTAATTATTGTTTGACATTAGGCTAACTTCCGGAGACTTAAATTGCACTGAATTTTTAAAATGGTAAAACTGGTCTAGATAATGTCTAATATCTCTTGAAGCCCAAAGATCTTTTATTTTCTCACATGTTATTTTGTTTAAGATATAGTCCAGTAAAACATAGGGAAAATAAGTTAGACAAGCCCTTCAATACCATCCCAATTCCATCCCCCATTCAGTTCCCCCCAACTCCATCCCCAAAGAAATCTATATTTAAGCCTCATTATTTGCCTTTATACTTTTCCACACAGTAGGTGTAGGCAGGTATTGAGACCCCTCTTCCTCAGGGAGACAAATGAAAGCACAGAGGGAGCAAGAAATTTGAACATGTATATCTATCATTTAATGAATGGGGAAATAGGAATAGGTCAGATCTCTTTAGTTCATGTCCTTTATTTGACAAGTGACAAGTGACTTTTCACAAATATGGCCTTATTTCCTTCTTATTGCTGTACCTGAAAAAGTCTCTCCAATGTCATCTGACACAATTTCACCCATCTTTCACAATACTTTCCTTTCTATATTCCCTTATCCCCTTTAGGCTTCTTTTTATGTTGTTTCTTAAAAAAATTTTATTACTTTCTTTTTATGATACAAATTAGCACAGGAGAAATACAAGAAGAAACACTAGTTATTTTCTCTTTTTAGTAGTAATCAGGACAATAAAAGCTAAAGTAAGTACACATTTGATGCCATATTTAACAACATGCTGTAATGTTTACATTTTAATGGACCTTAAACTCTGCAGATATATATAAATCCTTTCTTTTCCCTCTATCGATCGTAAAATACTACTTGGAATGATTTAATCAGGGCCGAGTTGAGAATTTTTAAAGTAATTGAATACTAATTACTAATCTGCTCTCAAACATAACTTTTGAAGTAAGAATTTGCTGAGTGCTTAAATCAGTTGCACTCAACTTTTAGCAGTGGCCACTTCTAAAGGAAAAAGAACCATATTATTGAAATAACAGAAACTTGTAAAAGGAAAGGAAAGAAACAGAATTCAGAAGATTAAGAAACAATCGACTTAACACTAATACACCTTTGTTCTTTTGAATCCTTAGGAATTGTTTCCTTTTGGATCTCTATAATTTAAGAGAGTTCTCAAATTTAAAACTAATCAGAATTACCTGATGGGTTTAAGTACGTACTGCTGGGTCCCATTCCCAGAGTTTCTGATTCAACAGGTCTAGACTGAGGACTGAAAATTTGAATTTCTAATAGGTTCCTCGGTGTTGCTGATGTGGCTGGTCAGGAGACCACACTCTTGAGAACTCATTGATGTGGGTTATATAATGACCTCTATCTTAAGGGAAAATACTTATAAAACCAGTTTCTGTTCTGCCTACAAACTATGTTATTCATCAACAGTATTTAATTGTTCTTAATGCAAGAATGAAAGTTTTCTTTAAATTGTGGTTTGATAAAGTAAAAAATGCAGACTGGCTGAAAAAATGTGTATAAAATAGAGGGAATTTGAAATCATTATACCATTAAAATAAGTATCTAAAAAATCAATATAAAAAAATCAGTAGCATTTGTGTACACCAAAACGTTCACGCAGAGAGCCAAATCAGGAATGCAATATCATTTGCAATAGCCACAAAAAGAGTAAAATATCTAGAAAGCTAATGAAGGAGGTGAAAGAGCTCTACAAAGAGAACTACAAAACACTGCTGAAAGAAATGAGAGATGACAAAAATAAGTGGAAAAACACTTTATGCTCACAGATTGGAAAAATCAAGATAGTTAAAATGGCAATATTGTCCAAAACCATTTATAGATTCAGTGGTATTCCTATCAAACTACCAACATAATTTTTCACAGAACTAGAAAAAAGTGTCTTAAATTTATAGGGAACCAAAAAAGAGCCCAAATCACCAAAGCAATCCTAAGCAAAAACAACAAAGCCAGAAGCATCACATCACCCAACTTCAAACTATACTATAAGACTACAGTAACCAAAACAGCATGGTATCAGTACAAAAACAGACACATAGACTAATGAAACAGAATAAAGAACCCAGAAATAAAGCCACACACCTACAACCATCTGATCTTAGACAAGGCCAATAAAAACGAACAATGGGGAAAAGACTTCCTATTTAATAAATGGTGCTGGAATAACTGCCTATCCATACGCAGAAGAATGAAACTGGACCCCAATCTATCACCATATGCAAATATTAACTCAATATGCATTAAAGACTTAAATATAAGACTACAAAGTATAAAAATTCCAGGTGAAAAGCTAGGAAATATCCTTCTCAATATCAGCCTTGACAAATAATTTATGGCTAAGTCCTCAAAAAAAATTGCAACAGAAACATTGACAAGTGGGATCTAATTAAACTAAAGAGCTTCTGTGCAGCAAAAAACAAACTATCAACAGAGCAAACAGACAATCTATCGAATTCGAGAAAATATTAGCAAACTATACATCTGACAAAGTTGTATTATCCAGAATATATAAGACATTTAAACAAATCCATAAGCCAGAATAAAATAACCCCATTAAAAAGTGGACAAGGACATGAAGGACAGGAGATGTGTCTACATCTCAAAAGAAATTATGCAAGTGGCCAAGAAACGTAGGAAGAAATACTCATCATCACTATTCATCAGAGAAATGCAAATCAAAACCACAATGAAATACCATCTCACACCAGTCAGAATGGCTTTTGTTAAAAAATCAAAAAATAACAGATGTCGGAAAGGCTGTGGAGAAAAGGGAGCATTTAGACACTGTTGGTAGAAATGCAAATCAGTTCAGCCACTGTAGAGAGCAGTTTGGAGGTTTCTAGATGAACTAAGAGTTGAATTATCATTTGACCCAGCAATCCTATTACTGGATATACCCAAAGGAAAATAAACTGTTCTACCAAAAAGACACATGCAAAAATATGTTCATCACAGTGCTATTTACAATAGCAAAGACATGGAATCAACTCAGGTGCCCATTAATGGTGGACTGGATAAAGAACATGTGGTACATACACACCATGAAATACTATGCAGCCATAAAACAATGAAATTATGTTATTTGCAGCAACATGGCTGCAGCTAGATGCCATTATCCTAAGTGAACTAATGCAGAAACAGAAAACCAAATACCACACATCCTCACTTATAAGTGGGAGCTAAACATTGGGTACCCGTGGACATAAAGATGGGAACAATAGACATTGGGGAATACAAGAGAGAGGAGGCAAAGAAGGAGGAAAGGATTGAAAAACTACCTATTGGGCACTATGCTCACTATCTGGCTGATTCATGTTTATTCCAAACCTCAACTTCAAGCAATATATCTTTGTAACAAATCTGCACATGTACCTCCTGATTCTTATTTCAGGAAAAGAATAAGATAAAGTTGAAAAAATATATGAAATAAGTATCTTAGATATATTAGCATAGTATCTAGAGAAAAATTTTAATGCTCCTTTCACAAACCTGAAATCATCCAGACTCCATTGAAGACCAGTAGAGCATCATAAAAATTATTACATAGGCACACAGACATACACATTGTAATACTTACCATGCTATAACATAGCCATATATACTCTGGAAAGTGTCTCAAGAGTATGTAATATGAAAATCATAGTGCTATAGCAGTGACATCATGCAGGTTGCTGAAATATTAGAACATATATTCATTTAATTCAGTGTAATTGGAATGATTTGTTATACTAATAAAAACAAAATATTTACTCATATAATTATCTTATGACTTCATTTACATCATCAGAAATCCTCGAACTATTTATTTGAAATTTTTAATATCTGGGGCTTTTATTTTACAGAGTAGATATGCTTGGTGTAGTCAAAGCTAATTAACAATTAAAGCTCACATACTATTTGATATCATGCCTTCCAAATTAGGACTTTAGAACATGCTGTTATTCAAAATGGCCAAGTGTATTCAAGCTTATTAAATTTTTATTCTCAGGAGTCCAAAAAGTGACATAATTATACAGTCATTTCAAAGCTAACAGGAAAAGAGGACTAGAGACAAAATAGTTCTTGTTTAGATGAGAGGAATACTGCTGTGTTAAATTCTCTCTCTCTCTCTCTCTCTCTTTCTCTCTCCCTCTGTTTCTTTGTCCCTTTCTGTGTTTCTCTCTCTCTCAACAATGTGTTTTCATTATTGATTAAAATAAGAGACTACTGTTTAGTCATTTTAACATGATGTCTCTAAGTTTAGTACTAAACAGTACCTTTTTATTGACTTTAAAACAATGTTTTTCTTTATAAATTACTTACACAATCTTTTCCTTCCATGTCTAATAATTATGGCAAGCTAGACTTCTGGTTTTAGTTTTGACAGCATAGAGGCTGTCACTGTTGTCATTACAATAAGAGAAAATTGGACAAACTTAAAATCAATGTCTTTTTTCAGACTCATCAGAGAGCTGAAGTTGCAAGGCAAACTATCATCCTGAAATTTGGGAAAACAGATGCACCAGAGACCAATATCTGCTTATCTGAAGCAGAAGCTGTTAAAGTGCTGAAAACAAAGAAACACTTAAATGGTAATTTTTGATTAACTGCATGAGAGTAGACTATCTAAAGAGTGAGAAACACAGTCTTAGAAGTGGCCCACACTTTAATAGGCTTTACCTCCAGGAGCTCTACCAGATTCTGATGGTGAAGACGGGAGAAAAGTCCCCTTATGGCTCTGTAAAGTGGAGGGAAAAATGAATCATTTTGAAATACACTCAGAGCATTCTCCATAACAAAGGCACACTCTTCAGTAGAAAAGGCTATGCCGGAACCTTATCCCAGCTTGGAGAAGGAAATTTCTCTTGCTCCAGCCTACGCTAACCCTTCCATTTCACCAAAGAGCAGAAATACATAGTCAACAAGGACCAGGGCTTCAAGGACATAAATTGGGAACACTGCAGTTTGGGAAAGAAGTGGGAATCTAAGGAAAATTAGTCCATACCACCAGAGAAACAGTTGTGAAGGTCACACCCCAGGGATACAAACCCACTAAAGGACAGATTTAATTGCAAGATTATATAATGCTCCTACTCTCCCACACCTTACCACCACACAAATACAATTCCAGTATAACAGTAGATTACATCTAAAAGGGCTGCAACACAAACTCCCTCTGACTAGAAGCACTCAGAGAAACTCAAGGTAAGAAGAGACAAATACAAGGACACTAGAAGAACATGAAGCATCTGGCAACTATAACTATAGCATGTGCTAAACACAGCCCAATTCCTAGCCAGATTACCATAAATCCTGACACGAAGGTCCTATTTACTTTAATTTGTTTTACCTGATACATGCCTGGCTTTCACAAAAAAATATAAAGAATGTCAAAATGCAATAAAAAATGCCATCTGATGAAACAGAGAATCACCATAATTAGACTCATGGCTGAGATAGGTATTGAAATTATCAGACTGGGCGTTTCAATTAATAGGAATTATTATGGTAAGGGCTCTAATGAAACAGTAGATAATATTCAAGAGCAGATAGGTAAAATAAGTTGACATATGGAAATCCTAAGAAAGAATCAAAAGGAAATGCTAGAAGTAAAAAACATAGTAAAATAAATGAATACTGCCTTTGACGGGCTCTTCAGTGTACTCAAAACAGCCAGGGAAATAAAGAGTGAGCTTGAAGATAAATCAGTTGAAACTTTCCAAACTAAAATAAACTGAAAAAGAATCTTAAAAGAACAGACTATCCAACAACTGTAAGATAATATCAAAAGTTAAAATATATGTATAATTGGAATATCAGAAGGAGAAAAACAAAAAATGGAGCAGAAGAAACATTGGAAGAAATAATAGTTGAGAACCTTCCAAAATTAACACCAAACAAAAAATTACAGATTTTGGATGCTCAGAGAAGCATAAATATTAAAAAAAAAACACAAAAACATAGACACATATACTTAGACGTGTCATATTCAAGCTGTAGAAAACCAAAGACCAAAAAAACATCTTTAGAGAAGCCTAAGAGAAAATAAAGTACTTGATTTCTGGAGGAACAGGGATAAGAAAGACAGTACACTTCTCAGAAAAAAAACATGCAAGGAAAAAGAGAGTATGACAAAATCTTTAGTATAGAAAGATAAGAACCACCAACTTATAAGTCTACACCCGGTGAAATTATCTCTCAAAAGTTAAGGAGAAATACAAATCTTGTCAGATGAATGAAACTGAGGGGATTTTTGCCCAAAAGAAATGTTCAACGTTTTTCAGACTTTCAATTTGGGCCCATCATGTAAGGAACTTGAATGTTGTTACTTTATCCTAACAAGGAAAAAGCTGAAGAAGCTCAAAAATCAACAACTTGTCCTAGAGCTGTCAGAGAATTCAGGTGTCAGGGCAAATCACTGACCCCAAAATTGGATTGACAGACAGGTGCATACAAGGAGTCATGGCTTATTGAAGCAGAAACGGCCATGGGAACTAGAACCAGAGCAGAAAAACCTAAACAGTAATTGATTGCTAGAGGCTCATTGTAGGCAAGTCTGAGAGTTCAAAACTCCAGGATGGGGAGCAGTGATAGGGAGTCCCCACACTTTTATGAGTTTTACCTCCAGGAGTTCAATGTGGTTCTCCCAGTGCACAGTGCAAAATCCCTTCATGCTTCCATCATGGGGATAGAGGACTAAATGCACTTATAAAGTTCACATTTCAGAGGCACAAGCTAAAACCGAGACCTAATCATAATCACTAGAATTGCAAAGAATTTCTGTAGATACTGAACCCTCAAGAAGATAGAGCAGAACTCTCTACTTCTAAAGTATGGGCTACACATAAAAATTTCCTCCAAAGAGCAGAACATAGGAAAGGGGAAGAAAAAAAGAGTAACTTTACAGTGGAGAAATCTGAAAAGCACTATCTCAGCCAGGTCATCAAAGCCAACATCATCAGTGATAAATCATGTTGACAGTATGTACCTTTGATGTGATGTGATAAGAATAACACCTGACCTCTGTAAATTCTTTTCCCAAAAACCTATAATCTGAAACCAGGCATAAGAACTATCTCAGACAAATTCCAATAGAGAAAAATTCAACAAAATACCTAGCCCACACTTCTCAAAACTGCCAGTCATCAAAAATAAGGAAGTCTTTCTGTGCTTGGGTTATTTCACTTAACATAATGATCTCTAGTTCCATCCATATTGCTGCAAATGACTGGATCTTATTTTTTTTTAATGACTGAATATTCCATTGTGTAAATGTACCACGTTTTATTTATTCACTCATCTATTGATGGACACTTAGGTTGTTTCCAAATCTTAGCTATTGTAAACAGTTCTGCAAAATGTACACACCTACTATGTATCCATAATTTTTTTTAAAAAATTAAAAGTTTAAAAATTTAAAAAAAATAATAAACAAAGAAGTCTGAGAAATTGTAACAGCCAAGAGAGCCCAAGGAGATATGACAACTAAATGTAATATGATATCCTGGATGGAATTCTGGAATATAAAAAGACCATTAGGTAAAAATAAAGGAAATCTAATTAAAGTATGGATTTCAGTTAATAACAATGTATCAATTATTTCATTAGTTATGACAAATATACCAAATGTAAGATATGAACAGCAGGAGTAACAAGATATACTATCTTCACAATTTTTCTGTAAATCTACATTTATTCTAAAATTAAAAGTTTATTAAAATTGCCTTAAAACTTGTATGCATAGATAAAACAACTTGAATTTTAGATGTATAGGCCTGAATTTCCTCATTTTATAATACAAGAAACTGACTTCTGGAGGAAATGACTAAACCAAAATCACACAATTCTTGAACCCTCATCTATATTACTGAATGCTGCCACCATGCCTGTTACCTGAGAGATTTCCTAAGTTTCTTGAAAATTCATAGTGTGAAAATCATCAATATTAGTAAATATGTAAGAAGTGTAAAGCCCTTTGAATGTAGCATGTTAATTTGACTTCTTCCTGAAGTATTTTTTGTCAAACTCATTGGATTCAACAAAAACCATAAGTGCTTAAAAATCATGACCTCACCCAGCATTACTCATAAGACAGAACTGTTTATACAAAGTAACAGTACCATAAGTCATGCTGCCCTCTGAGTCAATTTGCTTCAGGAATAACTTTGCAAGACAAGCCTTACTTTCACAGGAGACTTTTGACTAAAGAAAAGACATGAGTGGTCAAAAAATTTCCTGTTTATTTTTTTAAAAATTTTTGGCCAAAAAGAAATAATTGTCCTGGGAAATTGCAACCCAGAGCAGTTACATGGATTCTTTGTAATAATTTATTTTCAGTAGCATACTTTCTTCTCAGTTCATCTAGTTTACATTTCTAAATCCAATACGCCATAATCATACTAAAATCATTGGAACGTGATTTGATGACACAAAATGAAATTGGGTATATTAGATCCCAAGAAATAAAAGAGCTCTTAATTGAAAGCCTTGCAGAACAGGGAACATGCCTCACAGCTTTTCAATACTTTTTTCAATGCCTACTTTGACTTGTTTTAAATACTTAAACTCTAGTTTCCAGAAACAAAAGTAATGAAATAATATGATGCCCCTTAGCCCTATAGAAATATTAAATCCATTTTGCTAGATTAGCCAGTAAGTACAGCATTCAATATTACTCAATTATTTCATCCATCTGTTCAATATGGTAAAATGACCTTCCTAGTCATCTTTCCATGAAAAGAAACAATAGAGAGAAAAATTCAGTAGGTCTTTCAAAGTAAATAGTAAAGGAAACTAATTATTATTAGGCATCATGAATAGTCCTTAATACATTATTTCTCTATTTTGAATTTAAATATGATAGACTACTGTGGAGTAAACAATTTACAAAACAACAACAAAATGTTTTTTAAAACTCTTTAAACAGATGCTTAGTTTTTAGGGTTACTTTGGCTTCTGTTTTTCTTACTCTTGTATGACAGAAATTTTTTAGGGCTTATGTCTGGTGAAAAGATCTTTTAAAGAATCTTAGGTCCATTACTGCATGTGTTATAGTACTCACTTCCTTGGTGATATAATTAAATTTTGAGGTGACTGAGGTGAACGATAACTTCAATGCTTCTTTTAAAAAACAAAAGTAAAAAACTAAATTCTCAGTTCTAAACCTCTGATATTTTTTTCTGGGTCTTTATAAAGCCCATGAAATATTGTGTTTTTCTTTTTTTCTCCACTGGTTGTCTTTCTGTTGACTTTATTCACTGATCTTCTTTCTTTCTTTCACTATCTAGAAGTCTTGATTGTATCATCTGTTCAGTTATTTTATTGACTAACCCCAAACCAATTCTATTGTTTTCCCCTTTCCTTATTTCCCTCATGACTCAATCTGATCACTCCCTCTTTTGTTGACATTATTCCTTTTTTATTCCAGGACCTTCTTTCTTTTAACTGAAAATCATCCTTTAACTTCATAAAGTTCATATTACAGATTTAAAGGCTTAAAATACATAATGTTAACTTTCATTTTCACCTTTCTAAATGAAGGTTCTTAAAAAAGCTCTATGGGCCATTTTTAGTTGATAAAGAGTGTGAAAATATGGTTCATTACAATTTCATGAGTGAAGCAAATGGGATTAATAAACTGAAACTGTACAGGAAAGGAGATGCCCTAAAAGTGACATTCATTGCTTCTTTCATATCACACTAGTGGACTGACTGACAATGCTAAACACTCTTGAAATTGCTAGCTTGCTGGGCAATAAATTTAAACAAATGCAGCACATGATGAGGCTGAACTGAAAGTTGATTAATGAAGACATTAAATTGAAATTGTCTCCTTTCTCCTAAAAGCCAAAGCAAATTAACAACTGAAAATACAAAATAGTCTTTTATTTCTTCCTATTATTGCCTAAAATTTCCAAAAACTAGAACATAGTTGCCTAGCTTGATATTATTTAAAGCAAAATCCATCATCCACATGCTCTGCAATGGTGTGTGTGTCCCTTTGCGTGTGCACATACATAATGATACAGCTGGCTGAAGTAAAATAAAGCCTCTTCAAAATCAAATTTTTCTCCTTGTGGTTCAATAAAAAAAATCTATTTAGGTAAGAATTCAAATCTAAAATTAATCATTTTGATCACAAATGTGTTGCCTATCTTATACTTTATACATCATTATATATTTTTTTCTGGGGATACATAATCAGTGAGAAACTTGTTTGAACTTAAGAAAATGAAAACTTAATCTAGTGGGACTACCCACTTCAGCTTAAATTACTACAACATAAGATAAATTATAAGTGCTTAAGGGAATAAGGAAAGATTTATGGTAGTTTGGACAACAGAGTGTGGGTGTGTGTGTGTGCGCGTGCACACATGCGCATGTGTGTTGGCAATTGAGGGAGAAATTTAATGAACCCTGAAAATTTACTAGAATTTGAGCATTTGAAAATGATAGCATAAAACATTTCTGGCATTTAACAGGACACTGAAGCAAAAATAACGTATGAAAAACATTAAGAAATTCTCTTTTGCCAGGAGAATAGAAATTAAATAGAGTGGTGAAAAATAGAATTGGGAAGGCAAATTGGGGTCAGATCACTTAGGAATTTGGATTTTTTAACTATGAGATTAAGCACTATTCTGTGGAAATTGATAAATTGATAAGCTTTTAGGATAAATAAGTGGCCTGACCACAGTCAGCATCAGACTTTGACAGCAGAGGGTACGAATGGTAGGGAAGACAAGACATGAAAGAAAAATAAGAAAAAAGGCAGAGACATGGATAGAGAACCTGGGGAAGACTTTTGTTACTCCCCATTTGGGCTGAAAGACATGAGGTCACTGTGCCCTCAAATGGGTGTTAAATCATAAAGTATCACCACCAGATGTAAGATGGAAAGATTTAGAAGATCTTAAAGTACCGTAAAGTATCATAAAGTATCACCACCATATGTAAGATGGAAAGATTTAGAAGACATCAATAGGCAGATAGTAACCATCCCCTTTTCAGTCAAGCACACATGTATGAAAAACTCTCTAAGATTGGAGAAGGGATAGAGTGGAAGGAGATGAAGGATATTTCAATATTGGTGGGAGTACCTATGAATTCTTCCACTGTTCTTGGCTGAGTTTCTGGGATGGAGGTGGAAGTTGGGGCTGACCTAGAACCACCTTAATTCTCAGCTAAGTTTGCTGATTTGAAATATAAGCAACGAATCCCTATTTCCTGTCCAGAATCCTGAGGCCCAGCATTCTAAACAGAAATGCCTTCTATCACAGTCATATGGTAACAGAACAACAATGGCAAAGTACAGTGCCTTGATCAGAGAGCACCTAATGTCCGCACCTCAAGTCTTCTGGGCCTTGAGGCCTAAAAGTTACTTGAAAGCTGCTGTATATTCTCTACCAGAGAGGTTGGAAGTTAGCTGAGGAGCACTATAGTGGAAAATGGAGTGAACATTTGAATACTGCATTTGAAGACTATAGCTGTCCTACAGATATTGTAGCAAAATGAGAGAGATAAATGCTGTGGCTAGAATTCATTATTTCTGCTAACTGCCTTTATACCCCACAGAAGACTACCTCTCTGTGTGTATTTGGCCTTCACATTTCCAAAGGAAAAGATATCATTTGTTCAAATGGAGTTAGTGTATATTTTAGCATATTTATGCATAAATAGCAAATATTGTCCTTAGAAAGTCACTTTACCTAGATTCTTGGTTTTGGGTTCAGATTCCTACTACATCACCCATGGCCTCTTGATACACTGTCCAAAGATTATATAATAATGTCTAGGGATCACACAAGGGACATCACATTGTAGCTGTGTGACAGCAACCAGATGGTAAGCAAGTGAAATCAGTCCCAGCCTCACTGGGGCTGAGCACAGCATGTCTGGTTGAGGTATGCTCTAAGCCTGGCTACGTGCAAGTTGAGGTTCTTGTCTTCCTTTCCCATGTGTCCTTAAAATATCATCTGTTACTGTATGTAAACTCAGTGTGTCTTACCCTTACAACTTTGAACACCTAATAGTCACTTTGAGGCATTGCAACCTTAATTAACTCTTAAAAGTGTGAAATGATTATCTCCAAAGAACCGAGTCCTTCTAATTCACATCTTTCCTGCAAAATCTCTCAATAACTTTCTTCTTTTGAAAAACATGGAAATCCATTTCTACTATTTTATTAGCACTATTACTGCTACTATGTACTGATTTTTAGCAAAGTCTTCCATCTCCCTTAATATTATAGTAGTAAGGTGAAGATGAATTTGTCTCCATAAAACCATATGTGTAAAAAAATAATTATTTTTATATTTTCTAAAACTGAATTTAATTTATATTTTTGAATCCTCTTTCCACCTGAAATCACAAAATGTATTTATGTTGCAATGATAGGATGATGAAACTCCCATGGGGCCAGCCACAGCAGTAACCAGACTCAGAAATGGACATTCTTCACACTGAGCTGCATTAACCCAGGGAGAAGAAGAGGAGAGGCAACACGCCATATTTTCTAATGAGTTAAAGCCTAATTTAATCTGGAAATAACTAATGTTGACTAGTGTGTTTCCCCTAAAATAATTGCCTCTGATGGTCAATTTTATAGCTAAACCTAAAAAAGATGATTTAGGAAACACTGAGAAGTTCATCCCTCTTCCCACAATAAAAATATACTTTGCAATTTATTATTACAACTATCTTTCAAGTTATTTCCGTGGGTCTATGTTATTTTGAGAAACACAGATTACCCAAAGAATCTTACTTAACCAGTCAGTGACATCAGTGACATTCAGAATCAAGTGTATAAGGTTATATATCTATTTATCAATATTTATTTTAGTCCATCAGCTGATCATAAAATAATAAAGGGCTTCCTCTTTATTCTACTCCTTGGTATACCTTATAAATTCAATCCTACTTTCCCTTCATTTCGCTTTCCCCAAAATTTTCACTATGATTGAAATTACATTTACTATAGCACATGAAGTCTTTACAAAGGCACCTTTTTCTTCTGTTTTTGCTCACTGTTCACAGTGTAGAATGTCTAGTATCCCATTAAAGTGCTCAATAATAAATGCCTATCATACCCAAGGAATTGTATGATCCAAATGGTGTAAATAGATAAATATTGTACCCTTTACATCCATGGAGAAAAATTCACTTTGGAGATTTATACAGTGGTATTTCCAGCTCCTAACCCTTTGGATTCTACATGCATTTCCTCCCACTAACTGATCCACACATAATAGATCCTTCAGCCTGTTAGCAGTGCCCCACTCCTTGAACATACACTATGCTCTCTTTTTTTGTTGAATTTTCTCTTCACTAACATCCTATTTAAAACCCAGTCAGCCCTTTAAAATCTGGCTCAAATTGGGCTCTAGATCAATACAAGTAAATCTATCTAATCAAACACAAATCTGCTTAATGCTTAATTCACCTAAGGAACTATTTGAAAAATTTATTTTGGTAAAACATATAACATTTTCTATATAATGGATGACTTTTATCTTTTGGGAATTTTTGTATTTTGTATATTTGTATTTTGTATTTGTATATTTGTATTTTTGTATATTTGTATTTTGCGTGTTTTAAAAATTTCAGAATTATTTATTCAATTTACCTAAATCATTTCAGCCTTGATTCCACATTTTCAGTATTATTCAGTTTAATGCATTATGTTGACAATAAAATTATTTATTTCAATGTATTTTTTGGTATTTTTTAACATTTCCAGACTTTTTAAACCAAGACCAAATTAATATTGTATAATTATCAATACCTTTTTTTACCTTATTCCACACTCATCAAATTATCTTTTGTGCAGCCCTATGTTATCTAAATTACTTTTGTTCAATAATAATTTTCATTCACATTTAATGAGGTACTATCACTTTGAATAATAATAATGAAAAGTCACATTAGGTAATTTAGAAATAATTTGTCACAATGAATAGATTTTTTATTTGACTATATAAATATAAATATATACATGTACTAATATATACATATTATAAATACTGTAATATATATTACAGAGCCAGATGTGGTGGCTCCTTCCTTTGATCGCAGCACTTTGTGAGGCCCAGATGGGAGGATCACTTGAGCCCAGGAGTGTGAGACCAGTCTGGGCAACATAGAGAGAGCCCATCTACAAAAAAATTTTTTAAATTAGTCTGGTATTGTGGCATACACCTGTAGACCCAGCTACTTAGGAAGCTGAGATAGGAGGGTCACTTGAGCGTGGTAGATCAAAGCTGCAGTGAGCCCTGATAGTACCACTGCACTCCAGCATGGGCAACAGAGTGAGACACTGCCTCAAAAAAAAATAATATATTACAGCATATGTTATATTATCTATATTATATATTAAAGAAAATTTAGAAAATAAAAATAATAAATATAGATACATCAACCATGAGAACTCCTGATAACTTTTGTTATTTTCTTTCAGTTATTTTTCTATATACAGTATGTTTTTCTCTACATAATTTAAATCTGTCTATACACATGCACATAGTTGTGTATCAATTTTTTATTTAACTTATATTACTTGTTTAAATGTTATTTTATGATTTCTTTAAACATAGATTTTAGTGGCAGTGTCATAAATTACATAATTTTCAAAAGTTCATGATGATTGTGTAAAAATTCATAATAAGTGGATGAATCAAGAGTTGTTTACTAAGTGTGGCTGGAAGGTTGGCAAATTTTTCATTATTTACAAGTCTAGTTCTTCATTTTAATTAAATTTACTTCTGACTCTTAGCAATATTTAGCCCTTTCCTTATCTTAGTGAAATTCTCCTTTACAGATTTTTAATTTTGAATTTATTCAAGAAGTAATCTATTTATCAGATTTAAAAATATTATTGTAGCAGAAACAAAGCCTTTTATTATTATTTTTTTAATGCACTGAGTGGTTGGTAAAACCAACACGTCAGAGTTATATATGTATATGAGTTATGACATGACATTCAACATAAAAGAACTGGAAAACCCACAGATTATAGAATAATGCAGCTAGGGAACACATGTTGCATAATTTATGAAACTCCTGACACTAGACACTTGGTAATTATATAGTCAAATAACATTTCAATTATGGAACGCAATTTCAAAAGTAAGTTGAGATGAATAGCTGGGTAAACAGTATAATGTGGTGGGTAAGTTAAATCAGGACGCTCTAGAGATCTATCTTGAACTCCAATGACAGGAAAGGAATGGCACAGCAAAAGCAAGAGAAGGTACAGTCATTTTAGTGTGTAGATCTCTTCACATAAAATCTAATTTGTGGTCCTTTGGTTTCAAATGTTCTTTATGCACTCATAGCTTGAATCATGCTAAGTCTTGTCCAAGAAACCTTCCCTAGCTTATTTAGAAGTAGAGAAATATTAGTAAGCACTCATAAAGTTACAAAGTCCCGGAGAACTAAGGATCATGCCAACCAAAACACATTCTTCAACCTGTTCACACTTGAATATCTAGATCCAATGTTTGCTTATAAATGCTTTATTTATGTTAGATACTTACAGTGCTATTTTCTATGTTTTCAAAGAAGCATTGAAAAGAAGTTAGGAAGGTGAACAATAGACAATTGTCTAAATAAAAAAAATCTTTACCAGACCACATTCCTTAGTAAAACTACAACCTCAAAATATTGTCAGAGACTAGAGGTTCTGTTAGTCAATATTTAAGCTGGGAGGTCCTTATTAGTCAATAGTTAATCTGTACCAATATTTTCCAAAACCAATTAAATTCCCACAACTTACTTTATATTCCAGCTGCCACATCCAGAGAAATATTTATGTTAGGAGATAAAAAACCATCATATAATTAAGAATTGCTTAATAATTGGGACTCTCCTAGGAAACATAACGTACAAAATAAGTTCTTTTTTTGCCTAAATCCAAAGAGAGGTCTACAAGTGCTCCTATTTAAGAAGCATGAGGCATTCATCAGCAGTGCTAAGCAAAGAGCACAGTATCTGTTTTTGTTTTGGCATTAGTTTTTGCAGGTGTTACTGAAGCATGTTTTCATAAGAGAAAAGTGTACTTTGTGAATTTTCAACATTTGTAGGAAAATGTACAAAAGCACATAGAAACAAAAATAATATAGCAGAAGAAAAATAGTCAAGATGAGGAGGTTTTTTTTCTCTTTATTAAAAAACATTATTGAAAATTCCAGTATTCTTACTAAGTTAAGCTTTGGACAACGTAGACAGGAAAGTGGAATAAGACAGGCAATACTGTGCTCAAGTGAAGACTACAAAGTCAAGTCTTAAACAGATCAGAAGTACTTTCTTGACCAAGAAGAAACCCAGGAAAAGGTCCACATATATATGAATATAGTATATGATTAAAGATACACTGTAGAGTGAGGAGAGAATATTCAATACACTGTGCTGAGAGGAATAGTTAACCAGAAGGAAAAAAAAAGTAATTAAATCTCAACATCACAACAAATATAAAAATTAGTTCCAGATAGATTAAAGGCTTAAATATGAAAGACAAAACTTTAACCATGTTAAAATATAAGAAAGAAATCTTTTTGTTATTTACTCTGCACAAGAAAGGATTTTCTAGGGGAACACAACAATCACTGATCATTAACATTTTTAATAAATTCACTTATATTAAAATTAACAAATTCTATTTAATAAAAGATATACCTGTCCAACAAAAAAGATAATAAAATAATAAGCTACAAAATGAGGCCAAATATTTTTAACACATATAACTAGCTGAAGAGTCATAAACCAGAATATATAAAGAAATTGTTGAAATAAGTTCGAAAGGAGACACAGACATTCAATTGAAAGATAAGCAAAAGACATGAATAGATATTCCACAAAAGGAAAAGACAACATGATAAATATGTGAAAAGGTTTTCAATTTTAATAATCAGGGAAATGTAAATTACTATTGAAATGTTTTATATGTACTACCAAAATAATTTATATGTATTACAAAGTAAAAAATTACTTTGGCAATCCTGAGCTTTAGAGTTTGTAGGTCAATAGGATCTCTTTTACACTGATATGGGAATGTAAAATGATACAACCACTTTGGAATAACAATTTAATGTTATCTCGTGCATGAATGCATGAACATTCACATACCCTGTGACTCATCAGTTCAACTCCTCAATACACATGCTGGAGAAATTCCTGCAAATATATTTTGAAAGACAAATACAAAGCAAAAGAAATCCTCTCAGTATCATTGTTCACTGCAGAAAAAAATACTGAAAGCAGCACCAGTATCCATGATAAGCTGTAATATATTCACAAAGCTGAACGTCACATAGCAATGAAAGTGAATGAATTAGACTTACATGCAATAAAATGGATGAATCTTAGGCATACTTTTGAAAAGAAAATGTGAATTGTAAAAACTACATATATAGTATGATATTTTTGTGAAGCTAAAGCACAAGCAAAACTAAATATATCATTAAGAGAATTTCAACAGATAGAAAGAAAGCAACAAACACAAACATCAATATATTTGTTCTCTTCCAGCTGGGGTGGGGGACATAAGAGGTTGGGATAGTGGAGGAGCCACTTGCATGTATGTTACATATAGTCATCATTTATCCAAAATTATTTAATAATATAAAATTGGACACAATTTTTTTTTTATTATTAAACTCTAAGTTCAAAGGTACATGTGCACAATGTACAGGTTTGTTACATAGGTATACATGTGCCACGGTGATTTGCTGCACCCATCAACTCATCATTTACATTAGATATTTCTCCTAATGCTATCCCTCTCCCAGCACCCCAGCCCCCAACAGGCCCCAGTGTGTGATGTTCCTCTCCCTGTGACAATGTGTTCTCATTGTTCAACTCCCACTAATGAGTGAGAACATGCAGTGTTTGGTTTTCTGTTCCTGTGTTAGTTTGCTGAGAATGATGGTTTCCAGTTTCATCCATGTCCCTGCAAAGGACATGAACTCATCCTTTTTTATGGCTGCATAGTATTCCATGGTGTATATATGCCACGTTTTCTTAATCCAGTCTATTATTGATGGACATTTGGGTTGGTTCAAAGTCTTTGCTATTGTGAATAGTGCCTCAATAAAGTACCTGTGTGTATGTCTTTATAGTAGCATGATTTATAATCCTTTGGGTATATACCCAGTAATGGAAATGCTGGGTCAAATGGTATTTCTAGTTCCAGATCCTTGAGGAATTGCCACACTGTCTTCCACAATGGTTGAACTAATTTACACTCCCACCAACAGTGTAAAAGCATTCCTATTTCTCCACATCCTCTCCAGCATCTGTTGTTTCCTGACTTTTTAATGATCACCATTCTAACTGGCGTGAGATGGCATCTCATTGTGGTTTTTATTTGCATTTCTCTGATGACCAGTGATGATGAGCATTTTTTTGTATGTCTGTTGGCTGCATAAATGTCTTCTTTTGAGAAGTGTCTGTTCATATCCTTTATCCACTTTTTGATGGGGTTGTTTTTTTTTCTTGTGAATTTCTTTAAGTTCTTTGTAGATTCTGGATATTAGCCCTTTGCTAGATGGATAGATTGCAAAAATTTTCTCCCATTCTGTAGGTTGCCTGTTCACTCTGATGACAGTTTCATTTGCTGTGCAGAAGCTCTTTAGTTTAATTAGATCCCATTTGTCAATTTTGGCTTTTGTTGCCATTGCTTTTGGTGTTTTAGTCATGAAGTCTTTGCCCATGCCTATGTCCTGAATGGTATTGTTTAGGTTTTCTTCTAGGATTTTTATGGTTTTATGTCTTAAATTTAAGTCTTTAATCCATCTTGAGTTAATTTTTGTATAAGGTATAAGGAAGGGATCCAGTTTTAGCTTTCTACATATGCTAGCCAGTTTTCCCAGCACCACTTATTAAATAGGGAATCCTTTCCCCATTGCTTGTTTTTGTCAGGTTTGTCAAAGATCAGATGGTTGTAGATGTGTGGTCTTATTTCTGAGGCCTCTGTTCTGTTCTGTTGGTCTATATATCTGTTTTGGTACCAGTACCATGCTGTTTTGGTTACTGTAGCCTTGTAGTGTAGTTTGGAGTCAGGTAGCATGATGCTTTGAGCTTTGTTCTTTTTATTTAGCATTGTCTTGGCTGTGTAGGCTCTTTTTTGGTTCCATATGAAATTTAAAGTAGTTTTTTCCAATTCTGTGAAAAAATTCAGTGGTAGCTTGATGGGGATAGCATTGAATCTATACATTACCTTGGGTAGTATGGCCATTTTCACAATACTGATTCTTCCTATCCATGAGCATGGATGTTCCCCCATTTGTTTGTGGACACAACAATTTTTATAACCCAGTTGCAAATGACAGTCTAGGTCCTTACACAAGGATCCTTGTTGGCAATAATAAGGGTCTTAGAACTTCTGAGAGCAAATTTTCCTCAGATAGAACATCACCTTTGGCAATCTATAACAGGCTTTCTAGACAATGGTCCAAAAAGGCACAAAAACTTACCACAGCTGGTGAAACTGCATGCCTCTAAACAGAATTCTCCTTTGCAGTGGTTATTTAACTCTGCATAATCTAGGTTTTTTTTCCAAGTTGAGGGATGGCCTAACCTGTGTAACTTTAGAGGATGATATCCTAATTTTCTCAACCATTTTGTTATTAAATTTATGACAGTGAATTTGGTTATCAACTGGTATTTTTTATTTAGATGTATTATATCCATGTATTTTTACATAGAGCTAGTTCTATTCATTATATCAATTATTATATTTGTTCCAATTGATTAAAGCATAACTGTAATCTCTGCACTTTGGGAAGCCAAAGCAAGAGGATTAATTGAGGCCAGGAGGTCGAAATGAGCACTGGCGACATAGAGAAGTCCTATTTCTACAAAAAAAAAATTAGAAATTAGCCAGGTGTGTTGGTGCCTGCCTGTATTTCTAACTACTCTGGAAGCTGAAGTGGGATGATTGCTTGAGCCCAGGAATTCAAGTTTATAGTGAGCTATAATCATGTCACTGCACTCCAGCCTGGGCGACAGAACAAGATCTTGTTTCTTAAGAAGAAAAAATGAAACATAATACTAATTGCTATTTTTCTTTTCTGACTAGGAATCACAAGCTCAATTAATTACAAGTAGGTGACCAAATAAACCCCAAAGTTATTGAATTAATTAAATCAGACAAATCAGCTTTCAGTCATTGTTTCTAATCCTATATCTGGAAATTCATATGCATAGTTGCATTTTTAGCATATTTTATACATTTCTTTCTTGTTTGTTTTCTTAGCATATTCAACCATAGATCTATACTATCTATTCTTGAAATTGTCCTCTGAGTCTTATTAAAAATTTCTGAATATGGCATATTAGTTCTTATTTTCAATTTCTTAGCCAGGCAGAGTTTGTATATTCTCGGTCATTGCAGTGTTATAGTCCTCAGTAAGGGTGAATTCTTTTCTTACATTTTGCATGTACATTCTGTATAGAAGACTAGCTCAGGTGTCCTAGGCAACAGGAGAGTTTGCTGCACATTGCCAAGGATTACAGTGGGTAGAGAGTCTTAACGTGCCTACCCATTTCAGGGTAAGGGAGAGATATAGGTTCTCGGGTAATGGCAAGATCACAAAAAGTCTTCTGACATAACATAACAGTGTGCTCAGCCCTTTTAGAGAGCAAGCCTTCATTGGAAGACCTGAGATAAACTCTCCAGCTAAAGAGAGAGCAAGGGAGTAGTCAGTGGCCTGTGTCCTGCTTTAGGCCATCAGAGAGAAGATAAATAATCTGAACAGACATTTGCAAAGCAGACAGTCCAATAAGTTCGTTCTGTTTATTATGCTCAAGAAGAGATTACAAGAAAATAGATAGTGAATGGCTTTTTAGCACTCCAATTCTTTGGGATTAATTCCATTGGTCTGCATAATTGATGTTAATGAGGGACATCTGTCAAAAAAAAATTTTTTTTACCCTAGTTGTGAGTAGAGACAATAAAGAATAACATTAAAAGTAAGAACAGTAACAATTTATCAGAATTGATGTGGTTGTTATAGTAGCTGATGAGAAACAGTGATGATGAGACTCCAGAAAACCTCAGTACCTTTACATTTGGTTGACCTTTGTGGCCTGTTTTCAATTCACAGAGTATGAAAAAGTTAGCTCTAAATATTATTTATTCAGGATACTTATATGTAACATTTTAAAACTTTGGCCTGACTAATTAATTAGGTTTCAGTTTAAATGTCCTTCCTCTGTTCCTGCAGTATTCCATAGCTCCCTCATCATTGCACTTACCCATAGTACATTGAGAATGTTTATCTACTGTTTTCTATCAGAATGCAAACCCCATGAAGGTAGCACTCATATCTCTGTTACTTATCATGGTATTTTTAGACCTTAATGAAGTTACTGGAACAAGATAGTTGCTTGAAAAATATTACCACATGAATGAATTAGTGAAAACACTCAAAAGGTTATTTTACTTAAACATAAGCATGGTGACATTGTTAATAATTTATTTCTAAATTGCAGGTTACACAGTTTTCTAAAACTATCTCCATCATGCACACAGAGTATCATATATTCAACTTATCCAAATGCTCACAATCTCCCACTGCATCACCCCAGGGTGGCCACATAGATAAAAGTCTAAATGGGCGATGTTTCTTGGATTTATGCATTAGCAGCTCAAGTGACCGCACATGGCAGCCCTTATGCATGATGCCTGGTAGCATCACTTAAGACCATAATTAAGGTGGTGTTCTTAATCTTACTTAAAAACCTTCACCATGTCCCACACTAATTTTTTTAAAAATGATGATATCTATAGAAGAGTAATTTTTATTAGATGTGGGTTTTTTTTGTAATGGTTTTATAAGGAAATCTTCATATAAGATGTGGCTTTATCTTAGTTGGAATCCATCAAAACCACAAATTTTAAATTTAATTTGAATTCTACCAACATTCCTGGAGAAATGTCAATCCTGTTCATTCAGCTTTTATTCACTGTTCTGGCTACAAATATAGTCTCGTCTTCTAAAATAATTTTAATATATTTTGTTTATAAAGCTCGTTGACAGTGTATCTTGACACATGAAATGACATCATTTTATACCCACATGTTTTCTGTCCTAAAATCTTGGGATAATGCATGATATTGTCTTTCATCTTTCAAATCTGTGATTTATAGAGTGAGTGCTGATGACTCAATTTGAATTTATTACATATAATATTTATTTAATGGCAAAGGACAAAATCCTAATTTAAATTGGTTTGTGCAAAAGGTATTATAATGTCTTGACTCACAAAGAGTAAAGTTCAGAAATTATCTGTACTCAGGCATGACTGGATCCAGGAATTACATCGTTATTGTCCAGAAACTTTTTAAAATTTGATTTGATTTTATTTTAGCTTCAAGGGGTACATGTGCAGGTTTCCTATATAGTTATATTGCATAATGCTGAAGATTCGACTTCTATTGAACCCATAACTCAAATAGTGAACATAATACTCAATGAGTACTTTCTCAACCCTTGCTCCCCTCATATTCTGCTCCATTTTGGAGTCCCCAGGGTCTATTATCTTCATTTTTATGTTCGTGTGTACCCATTATTTAACTCCCACTTATAAGTGAGAACATGCAATATTAACTTTCCTTATTCTGAGTTATTTCATTTAAGGTAATAGCTTTCAGCCCCTTCCATGTTGCTGCAAAATATATGATTTCATTCTCTTTTTTATGGCTGTGCAGTATTCCATGGTATGTATGCCACATTTTCTTTATTCAGCAATCATTGATGGAGACTTATGTTGATTCCATGACTTTGCTCTTGTGAATAGTGCTGTGATGAACATATGAGTGGAGGAGTCTTTTTGGTAAAACAATTTATATTCCTTTGGGTAGATGCCCAGTAGTGGAATTACTAAGTCAAATGGTAGTTCTATTTTTAGTTCTATGAGAAACATTCATTCTGTTTTCAGTAGGGGTTGTACTAACTTAAATTCCCACCAACAGTGTATAAGCATGCCCTTTTCTCTACATCCTCACCAACATTTGTTATTTTTTGACTTTTTAATAATAGTCATTCTGATTGCCGTGAGATGATATCTCATTGTGGTTTTGATTATTGATTGGAGCATTTTTTCATATGTTTGTTGGCCACTTGTATGTATTCTTTTGAGAAGTAACTCATGTCCTTTGCCCACTTTTTAATGGAATTATTTTTTTTTCTTGTTGATTTGTTGAGCTCCTTATAGATTCTGGATATTATTCATTTTTCAAATGCATAGTTTACAAATATTTTCCACCATTCTGTAGGTTGCCTATTTACTATGTTAATAGTTCCTTTTGCTCTTCAGAATCTCTTTAGTTCAATTAAGTATCATTTGTCTATATTTTGTTTTGTTGCATTTGCTTTTGAAGTCTTATTCATAAATTCTTTGCCTAGGCCAATGTCATGAATAGTTGTTGCTAGGTTTTCTTTGGGAATTGTTTTAGTTTCCAGTCTTACATTTAAATCTTTAATTCATCTTAACTTCCATATACGGTGAGAAATAGGCATCCTGCTCCATTCTTATGCATGTGGCTAGCAAGGTTCCCTAGAACCATTTATTGAATAGTGTCTTTCCCCATTGCTTATTTATGTCAACTTTAACTAAGATCAATTGGTCATAGGCATGTGGCTGTATGGCTGGATTATCTATTTTGTCCCATTGATCTATGTGTCTATTTTTGTGCCAGTACCATGCTCTTTTGTTTACTATAGCCTTGTAGTATAGTTTCAAGTGAAGTCATGTGATGCCTCCAGCCTTGTTCTTTTTGCTTAGGATTGCATTGGCTATTAAGGCTCTTTTTTGTTTCAATATATACATTTTAGTATTGTTTTTTCTAATTATTTTAAAAATAGTATTGGTAATTTGATAAGGATGGCATTAAATCTGTAGTTTGCTTTGGGCATATAATTATTATAATAATATTATATTTATTTTTCCCATCTATGAGGATGTGACATCTTGCTTGTGTCATCCTCAATTTCTTCCATCAGTGTTTTGTACTTCTTATTGCAGAATTCTTTTAACTCTTTGGTTAAATGTATTCCTAGGTTTTTTTGTATGTGGCTATTGTAAATGGGATTGAGTTCTTGATTTGGTTTTCAGCTTTACCATTGTTGTTGTATAGAAACGCAGTTGACTTTTGTGCGTTAATTTTGTATCCTGAAACTTTACTGAAATCATTTATCAATCCTAAGAATATTTTGGAGGAATGTTTACAGTTTTCTTTTAAAGCAAGAAAACTAAAGTTTTCATTGGAGTTTTTAAGCAAACAGAGATTATTTGACTTCCTCTTCCATTTGGATGGCTTTTATTTCTTCCTCTTGGCTGATTGCTCTGGCTAGGACTTTCCCTGTCACATCATTGTCTTGTTCAAGTTCTTAGGGGTAGCATTTTCAGCTTTTCTGCATTCAGTATGATGTTGGCTGGGTGTTTGTCACATATGGCTCTTATTATCTTGAGGTAAATTCCTTCAATGCCTAGGTTGTTGAGAGCTTTTATCATGAGAAGATATTGGATTATATTGAACACTTTTTCTGCATTTATTGAGATAAGCATAGGGTTTTGGTTTTTAATTTTCTTTGTATGGTGAGTCACATTTATTGATTTGCTTATGTTGAGCCATTCGTGTATCTCTGGAATAAAATCTACTTGGCTGTAATGAATTATCTTTTTCATGTGCTGCTGGATTCAGTTTGATGGTATTTTGTTGAGAATTTTTCAGTCTATGTTCATCATGGATATTGCCCTGTAGTTTTCTTTTTGTTGTGTCCTTGCCAGATTTTGGTATCAGGATGATATTGGTTTTGTAGAAAGAGTTAAGAAGGAATCCCTCCTCTTTAATTTTTCGGAATAACTTCAGTAGGATTGTTACCAGCTCTTCTTTGTGTATCTGGTAAAATTCAGTTTTGAATTTGCCTGGTCCTTGGCTTTTTTTGGTTGGTAGATTATTAAATTTTTAATTCAATTTCATTACTCATTATTGGTCTGTTCAGTATTTCAATTTCCTCCTAGTTCACTATTGAGAGCTTGTATGTTTCCTAGAATTTATCCATTTTTTCTCTAGGTTTTCTAGTTTGTGTGCATAGAGATATTCATAGTAGTCTCTAACGATCTTTAGCATTTCTGTGGTAACAGTTCTAATGTCATCTTTTTAAATAAATAAACACATCTGATTGTGTTTATTTAAATCCACTCTCTCTTTTTGGTTAATCTAGCTAGTGGTCTGTCAATCTTGTTTATCCTTTTAAAGAACCAACTTTTTATTTTGTTGACCCTTTGAATGGTCATTTTGGTTTCAATTCATTTAGTTCTGCTCCAATCTTTCTTTCTTGGTTTATTCTGCTGCTAGATTTAGGTTTGGTTAGTTCTTCTTTTTCTAGTTCCTTGAGGTGTGCCATTAGGTGGTTTATCTGAGATATTTCTATGCTTTTGATTTAAGAATTTAGCACTACAAACTTTTCTCTAAACACTGCTTTTGCTGTATCCCAGAGATTTTGATATGTTGTTTTTCTATTTTCATTTTTTAAAGTTTTTAAACATTTATTTCTTATTTTCATCGCTTATCCTAAAATAATTAAGGAGCAGGTTGTTTAGTTTCCATGTACTTTTGTGGCTTTGAGGGTTTCTTTTGGTATTGATTTCTAATTTTATTTCACTGTGGTCTGAGAAGATGATTGATATGATGGTTTCTTTTCTAAATATATTGATATTTGCTTTATGGCCAAGAATATGATCTATTTTGGAGAATGTTCCATGTGCAGATGAGCAAATAATATATTCTGTGGCTGTTGAGTAGAATGTTCTGTAAATGCCTATTAAGTTCATTTGGTCAAGAGGCCAGTTTATGTCCAGAGATTTTTTGTTAGTTTTCTGCCTCAGTGATCTGTATATACTGTCAGTGCAGTATATAATTCCCCCGACTATTATTGTATGGTTGTCTATCTCTTTTCTAATGTATAGTAGTAATTGTTTTATGAATCTGGGTTCTCTAGTGTTGGGTGTGTATATAATTAGAATAGTTTTATCTTTTTGTTGAATTGAAATCTTTATCATTACATAACGTCTTTCTTTGTCTTTTTTTACTTTTGTTGCTTTAAAGTCTATTTTATCTGATATGAGAATAGCAACCCATGCTCTTTTCTCTTTTACATCTGCAGGATATATCTTTTGCACCCGTTTACTTTTGGAGTATGTGATGTTATTATTACATGTTAGGTGGGTCTCTTGAAGGCAGTGATGGTTGGGTCTTGTTTTTCATTCCAATTTGCCAATCTATTTTTTTAAGTGGAATGTTTATACGATTTACTTTCAAAGTTAATACTGATGTTGAGGTTATATTTCTGGCATAGTGCTATTAGCTATTTGCTTTGTATTCTGGATTGTGCAGTTTCTTTACAAGACCTGTAAACTTTGTACTTACATGTGTTTTTATGGTAGCAAAGACCGTTCTTTCATTTCCATGTTTAGAATGTTTCTGAGCATTTCTTGTAGTACCAGTCTATTGGTGATGAATTCCCTTCACGTTTGCTTGCCTGAGAAAGACTTCATTTCTCTTTTGATTGTGAAGCTAAATTTGGCAGGATATAAAATTCTTGGCTGACATTTTTTTTCTTAAGAAGTATGAGAATAGACCCCCAGCCTCTTCTGGATCGTAAGGTTTCTACTGAGAAGTCCACTGTTAGTCTGATGGGATTATCACCTTTATAGGTGATTCAGCTCTTTTATCTAGCTGCCTTTAAGATTTTTTCCTTTAGCCTTGACCTTGGATAGTCTGATGACTATATGGCTTGTTGATGTTCATCTTTTATAGTGTCTTGTAGGTGCTGTCTCTCTAAATTTCTTGTATCTGGATGTCTACCTCTCTCTCAAGATCAGCAAAATTTCTCTAATTTATTCCCTCCAGTATGTTTCCAAGTTGTTTACTTTTTCTTCTTCTTTCTCAGGAATTCCTATAAGATGTAGTTTGGTTGCCTTAAATAATCTAATATTTCGTAAATGCCTTGTTCATTCTTTAAAAGTCTCTTTTCTTTATTTTTGTCTGACTGGGTAAATTCAAAAGACTGATCTTCAAGCTCTGAAATTCCTTGTTCTGCTCGGATTATTATTTCAAATTGTGTTTTGAAACTACTTTAGTAAGTACTTTGATTCCAGAAGCTCTTTTTTAAAAAATATAGCTATCTTATCTTTGATATCCTTAATTATTTTTCTGGTTTGTGTTGATTTTCTACTTTCTCTTGGATCTCACTGAGCTTTCTTGCAATCTGTATTTTGAATTCTTAATCTGTCATTTCAGAATTTTTATTTCAATTAGGATCCATTGCTAGAAAACTAGTTTGATCTGTGGGAGGTGTCAAATCATCTTTTTCTTTCTTTTTATTTGTATTTTTTTACTGTAAGAGTTTTTGCACTGATTTCTTCTCATCTGAAGGTGTTATTACTTCTTATTTCTGAATTTGCTGTCGTTTGGATGGGACTTTTTTTTTTGTTATTTTTTCCTCTTGAGAATATGAGTGGGGTGTATGTTGCATATGATTGCTTGGCTTAGTTTCTGGATGCTTTCAGGGCCTAGACTTGATATGGGTTCCATGGTTGTGTATAGCTTTTGTGTGGTGACTTGCTCTAATGCTGCTTGTTGTAGCAATATATTGAACATATGGGCTGACATACTATGTCTTGTGGGGCTAAAAGCTGAAAGGTGTAGGAAGCTTATCTTATACGCTACCGTTATGCCCTTCTGAGACAGGTTTTTTATTTGACTGTGCAGTTCAGTCACCATTCCTGTCCTTGGTGCTTAAGAATAAGAACCAACTCATCTTTGCATAGCCCAATAATGAGTGAAGGCACTCACCTTAATGGGGATTGACCAGGGGAAATTTTGAGGGAGTGCACTAAGGTCTCAGGGGATGGGGCCCAAGTACATGCATCAGCTCTTTGTCTTCCACAGACAGAAATGTGATCCACTTCCCTATCATGCCCCTGTTGCAAGCTTGCAATCTTCAATTCAAATAGACATTGTCCTTTTATTTCAGGTCACAGTGCAGCTGCAGGCTACAGATATGCCCCTCTGGTGGCTACCACTGAAATGGGCTCAGGGCAGAGCCTCTTTCTCCAGTGCAGAGCAGAAAACCTTGTGGTGTATCTGCCTTCCATTGCCAGGACACTGCCAGTCTGTTTAGAGAAGGGAAGATAATCCTCATCATTTATGGATGCACCTACTGCACACGATCACTTTCAACAGGGGTGCAGTCACCATGAAAATAACTCCAAAGCCTTTCTCCAAGTGCACACATGCTGGCCACCAGCAGGAGAGCCTCTGCTACTTCTAAAATAGTGGTTAGGGGGAGCAAGAGATAACCCCCTCTGCATATATGTTCCTGCCCACTGGTCCCACTCCCTTTGGCATTTGCCACTGTGTCCACATCTCCCCTTGTCCCAAGGGGGGCTTTGGTGAGCTGTGTTCCCTCCTCCCTTCAGGGCAGTCCATGTCAAGGGTTAGATCTTCAGGCATCCTGCAGCTTTCCAGGGACACACCAGTCCCTGTGGTTTCCAAAGTCAGATTGAGTCGTGGACTATATTTGCAGGGGACCTCGTGATGTGGTGACCGAACAGCTGAGGTTCTCCAGATAGGGCAGTAGCCCACAGTAGGTATAAAAACAGTATGTTGCCCTCTATCTCAGTTAAGGCCTGAGGGAATGTGGGTTCCCCTGCATGAGGTGGCAACCTGGTTCTCTGTCTCTGGGAAGTCTCCAAATTGCCACCATCATAGCCAGGTTGTGAGGGTGAAGAAAACTCTCCAGCAATTTAGCAGTCAGCAGATTGTCCCAGGGATGAGGGGAGCAGAGAAGCAACTCCACCTACCCTTTGCTTTTCTGCATCCCAGCTTCTTCACATGGGCTCTCTGACAGATCATTGCTCTCTTCCCTCGGTTTTCCACTTGGACCGTGGCCAATCCTCTATTACTTTGATCTACTTTCTGAGGAGAACTGGCATTCAACATCACTAGTCAGCCATCTTGAAGAAACAACCCAGAAACCTTTACTGTTCCTTCTGTTCAAGTGTCATCTCCGTTTGTCTTTGTCTGTCTTTATTCTGTTTTCTCAACATTGGTGACCACAATTACTTTGATAAACCTTCAATTCTATCCACCCTTTTAAATGGACATTTAACATTCACACCTAAATTTTAACCACTGCCTTTGTCATTTTACTACAAAATTTAATTTGCTTATTATCATATTGCAATAAAGAATTCCTGTAAGTATTCAATACTGAAGTGGTACAGATTGGTAATAGAACCTACTCTTAGACAGTATCTTCCATGTTGCAGCAGAATTTTTTTTATGCAGTAAAGTAAGTAAAACCTGTTTTACCACATTCAAGTTATGTGATGGTGGAGAATTATTAATTCAATTTCATGCCTGAAATCAATGTGTACCTTTGTGCTTGAAAAAATTTGTGTAAAATTTGTTTAAAATGGAATGTTTCTCTTTTTTTATTTCTTTCTTTCTTTTTTTTTTTTTTTTTTTTTTTTGAGACAGATTTCACTCCTGTTGCCCAGGCTGGAGTGCAATGGTGCAATCTCGGCTCACTGCAACCTCTGCCTCCCGGGTTCAAGCAATTCTCCTGCCTCAAAATGGAATGTTTCTATGTGTTGCATCTTACTGGAAACAGGGACTCCTGAAGTACTTAAGAAACAAAGTAATAATATTAGCAACCATAAAAAGAATTTCTCTTTGCCTGTGTACAGTCACATGAGGTTTGTACGGTTATAACTTAGTTTATTATTTCTGCAACTTAACTCTTTATGCAAACAAAAGCTCATTTTTCAAGAATTGGTATCTGTGCTTTTCCACTGCTGTTTCTCTTTGGGGAATTGTCTTAGTGATGAAGCACAGAACACAGAGTTCAGCACTTGTCATCCTGGTAAATATTTAAATAATGGGAATAAATCAAGATCACAATGCATGTCTTCTGGCTAATAGCTGCTTAGGTATGCACTAGGCATACCCTAACATGCTACTCAGCCTGAAACTGTTTCAGATCTTCCAGCGAATGGGTCAGATGGAGATGGCATGATAGGAGAACAAGTGATATCTCAAAATAAGTATGGCAGCAAGGGCAGCCAAACCCAGATGAAAAGAGACCTGAGTCTAAGTGGACAGTGTGAAAAAGCAGCCCTGTGCCATTTCTTGCCAAATATTCTCAGCAGTTCTCTGATATTAGAAACATGCCTGAAAGGTAGGTATTTGTACAAACTTCTTTAATCTGATAACTGGTACACTTATCAAATCTCTGTTTCAAATTATGCTGTACATTCCCAGGAGGACCCCATTTCTCCCTCCCTTTGCATTCTTTTCTGCTAACACCTACAGTCCTAGCATTTGTCAGTCAGACTGATAGATCTGTGGCCAGGTGAGGCCTTAAGTTCAGAGAATTGGGAATGATTGTCATGACTCATATCATTTCCATGACCCTGTGGTTTTCCAGAGCCTACTTTTCCTGGGCATAAAAAGAAAATTCATACCTTTACTTATTATTTTGAACCATTTTTCTTAAATTAGAATACTAAATGCATAAAACTCTTCATGAGTGTTTTGTATGTCATTGATTATAAGTAGTTAAATATTGTTATATAAGAAATTGCATGCTATATTAGTTTTCTGCTCTTGACAAAACAAAATGCCACAAATTAAGCAGCTTAAACAACCCACATTTGTTATCTTACAGTTCTGTTAGTCATAGTCCAATAGGGTCTCATCATGGTATCATCCAAATGGCATTCCCAATTGGAAGCTCTAGGGTAGAATCCATTTCTTTGCTCAATCAGATTGTTGGCAAGATATAATTTCTTGCAATTATAGGATAGCCATACCCCATTTCACTGGTGGCTGTTTGAATTCCTTGGCTTATGGCCCCCTTTGTCCATCGTCAAAGCCAACAACTATGAGTCAAGTCCCTTTCAAATTTCAAATTTCTTCTGCCTCTTGTTCCCTCATCACATTTATCTCATTGAGCCTTCTGCCTTTATCATCTGCTTTTAAGGGTCCATGTGATTACAGTGGATCTATCAGATAATTTAGGATAGTCTCCTGATTTTAATGTCAGCTATTAGCAACCTTAATTTTATCTGCAAAATTCCATCTTGCCATGTAAGATAACATGTTCATAGGTTCCAGGGATAAGCATGTAGCCACATTTGGTGGGGGGGGGGCATTAATGGGCCTACCATACTTTACTCACAGCAAACTATTTAAAAATATTAATGAAGACTTATTTTTAGAAAGTGACACCATAATAGCATCAATTCATGGTAGTTACATTACATAAAACTCTTCTCTTTGGCTTTTTTCTCTACAAACTATTGGTCACTATTCTTCTCTGTTGAAAGTACTTAGGAAGAAGCCAGATTTCTATAACCCTTGTTTTAACCCTTGAAAACTCTCAAGTATAAAAAATGAAAAGAATTGATATGTTTACCTTATTACTTTGTTCACCTTATTACTTTGTTCATTTATTTAATGAATTCATAAACCCTGCCATAACCTTGAAAAGTTCTTCTAGAAGGCATCCAGTTAATATCTTTACCTCATCCACTTCTTAACAGACATTATCCAAATTGAGCTATTCTAAACCAGATAGGAATCTCTACTGTTTAATAAAAATGAGGCTGTAAAGCTTCAGTCTATTATTTGCTCATGCATATCATACTTTACTTTCCAGAAATCTTTCTTTGTATTTTTAAATAAAAAATATTCAGTAGTACTTGCTATAGCATGATAAGGAAGATTTTATTCAGGACCATCATGATAGGTATAGGGACTATCGCAATGGGGTTTTGTAGCCAGGGAGAGGTACTGGACCCAACTTTGAGTACAGCGTGGGCAAGTGGGAATTTATAGCTAAGGAACATGGTAAGAATCAATAGATGGAAGCTGATTAAGAAAAAGAATTAAGGGTAATGGGGATTCTCGTTAAACTGACTTAATAGTGTTCTGTTCTTGCTGAAGAGAGTCAGGGATGATCGGACATTACTTGGGGTGTGGTGGAGGATGAAGAACATGATCAGATATCAAAGGTGATCTGATATCAAAGAAAGAGGGTTCTTGCTAAACTGACTTAGAAAGGTTCTTTGCTAAAACTGGACTGTAGAAGAAAGTACACAGATAGAAGAGGAGAGGGCTAACTAAATTTTAGTCAAGCAGATAACCTTTGCCAGTATTTAACGAAAATAATCCTTTACATAAAGATTTTAACTTCTTCTGTTAGAAATTAGTGAATTCTTATCTTTAGAGTGCTTATGAAGTTTTATAAATTCTAACCTCTTCTTCCCAGAAAGATTTTTTACAAAATCTAGAAGTTTCAATAACATTAAAATCATATTTACAAGAAAATAATGCAATTAAGGTTTATTTAAAATTATATAACAAAAATACATGTAATTATTAAGAATAAGAGAAATTATTAATGAACAGAACTTTTACAAGAAGAGAAATTGTATGTCAGTCAATATGTTCATCTAAAAATGCCATCAGTAAACAAAGCTATATTCATTTCCCTATTAATAAAGAATAAATTTGGTGTAAGAAATGATGGAAATTGTATTGATTCCATCACTGACTTAAGAAGTCTGCTTCATCTCAAAACCAGATATTGACCAACTACTATGGGGCTTATTCTTATGAATACTTTCTGAATACAGGGACCATTAATAAACAGGAAAATTCTCCAACTTGGGATAAGAATTGTTTAGCTGTAATGAAATGGGAGAAAATATTTAAAAACCATACGTCTAATAAAGTGTTAATATCCAAATATATATAAGAAACTCCTACTACTCAATAGCAAAAAAATAAAAATCTATAAAAAATGCACAAAGGACTCCTGAACAGGCATTTCTTCAAAGCAGACATACGAATGGCCAAGAGTTATATTTTTAAAATGATCAAAACCATTAATCATTAAGAAAAATCAAATTAAAGCCATAATGAGATATGACCTTACACTAGTAGGATGGCTATTATCAAAACTTTTTTTAAGTATTGGCGAAGATGTAGAAAAATTGGAATATTTGTACATAATTGGTAGAATGTACAATGGTGAAGCCACAATAGTAAACAATATGAAGTTTCTTCAAAACGTTAAAAATAGAACTTCCATATAATTCAGCAATCACACTTCTGTGATTATATCCAAAAGTAGGTTAAAAAGATACCTGCACTCTCATGTTCATTGCAACATTATTTACAATAGCCAAGATACGAAGACAACCTAAATGTCTATTGACAGATAAATGGATTAAAAAATATGGTATATACACCTAATGGAATATTATTCAGCCTTAAAAAAGAAGAAAACCCTGCTATGAGTAACAATATGAATGAATCTGGAGGAAGTTATGCTTAGTGAAATAGGCCATTCATGATATCACCTATATGAGGTATCTAAAATAGTCAAACTCATGAAAACAGAGAGTAAAATAGCGGTTTTCAGGGGGCTGTGAGAAGGAAATGAAAATTTGCTGTGCAAGTGGTATAAAGTTACATTTATGCAAGATAAATAAGTTCTGGATATCTTCTGTAAAACATCTGCCTATAGTTAACAATACTGACTTGTGCACTTAAAAATTTGTTGAGTGGGTGTCATGTAAAGTATTATTAGCCAAAAAATATAGTAATAAAAAGGCAAATCATTTAAAAAAATAAAATTACTTAACTTTGGGAAAAGAAGAGTACTGTGAGAAATAGGCCAACTTTCTTCTAGTCTTGTGGAGAACTACAATATATGAATAATCCCTACTTGTGTATTCACAGAGAATTATTATTATTACTATTATTATTTTTGCTCATTGGATAATTTTATTTCATGTTTATGTTTTCTAGCTTCATTTGGGTATACACTGATAAATAAAAATTGTATATATTTGAGGAGTTCAATGTGATATTTTGATATTTCTATACATTGTGAGATGATTACAACAATCAAGCTAATTAGCACACCTCACACCTCACATAATCACTGTGTGTTTGTATATGTTGTGAGTGATAGAGAGAACACTTAAAATCCACTCTCTTAGCAAATATCCCTCCTCTGTACTTTTTTCCATAATGGTTGGACCAATTTACATTCCCACTAACAGAGTGCAAGGGTTCCCTTTTCTTTGCATCCTCATCAACGCTTGTTATCTTTGTCTTTTTGATACTAGCCATTCTAACATATGTGAAGTGATGTCTCATTGTGGTTTTTGTTCATATTTCTCTTATGACTAGTGATACTGAGCATCTGATATAATTTGGATATTTGTTCCCCACTCAAATCTCATGTTGAATTGTAATCCCCAATGCTAGAGGTGGAGCCTGGTGGGAGCTGTTTCGATCATGGGGGCAGATCCCTTATGGCTTGGTGCTGTCTTCAAGATAGTGAGTTCTCACAAGATATGGTCATTTACAGTGTGTACTCCCTCCCCAACAGTCCCCATTCTCTCTCTTGCTCCTGCTTCCACCATGTGAGAAACCTGCTCCTCCTTTGCATGTTTGTCAACTGTAGATGTAATAAAATGAAATTAAAAACATGCTTTTTAAAAAAACCTCTAAGATTTGTATATGTTCATATTTAGGCTTCTGATAGGGAGAGAAACCATTTAGGAATCAATGTTTGTGTTCTGAAATCTGCTTGTAAATCTCTGATCTCATCTTTCATTGACATTAAACCATTTTAACGGTGAAAAAAAACACATGATTGTAAGCTTCCTAAGGCCTCCCTAAAGCAATGCCAGTGCTATGCTTCCTTTACAGCCTGCAAAACTGTGAGCCAATTAAACCTATTTTTCTATAAGTTACCTAGTCTCAGATATTTATGTATGGCAATGCAAGAATAACCCAATAGAGCATCTTTTCATATACCTGTTGATAATTTGTATGTATTCTATGAAGAAATATGTCCTTTGCCTATTTTCTAATCAAGTTATTTGTTTTCTGCTATTGAATTGTAGGAGTTCCCTATATGTTTTTGATATTAATGTCTTATCAGATGTATGGTTTGGAAATATTTTCTTCATTCAGTAGGCTTTCTTTTTACTCTGGTGATCATTTATTTTGCTGTGCAGAAGCTAGTTAATTTGATGAAATCTCACTTGTCTATCTTTGCCATTGTTGCCTCTGCTTCTGAGGTTATAACCAAAAAACCATTACCCAGGCAAATGTCAAAAGAAGCTGTTTCCCCTATGTTTTATTCTAGAAGTTTTATAGGTTCAGGTCTTAAGTCTTTAATCCATTTTTAGATGATTTTGGTATATTGTTTGAGATAAGGATCCAAATTCATTCTTCTGCAAGTGGATATCCAGTTTTCCCAATAGCATTTATTGAAGAGACTATTTTTCCCCGTTATGTGTTCTTGGCATCTTTGTCAAAGATCACTTGACTGTAAATGTGCGGATTTTTTTCTAGGCTCTCTGTTCTGCTTCACTGGTCTGCATGTGTAGTTTTATGTCAGTACTATACTGTTGTGATTACTGTAACTTTGTAATATATTTTTAATCAGATAAAATATGCCTCCAGTTTTGTTTTCTTTAATCAAAATTTCCTTGGCTATTCAGGGTCTTTTGTGATTCTATATGAAACTGTCACAAGAGACAAAAAAAGATTATAATAAACTGACAAAAGGTAAAAATCATCAAGTGAATATAACAATTATAAATATATATGTACCCTCTATTGCAGCACTTAAATATATAAAACCAATATCAGCAGAACTGAAGGAAGAAATGGACAGAAACACAAAATGGATGGATCTCAATATATCACTTTCAATAATAGATAAGTCATCCAGACAGAAATCAATAAGGAAAGAGCAGAATGACGCTTGGATAACACTAAGGAGCAAATGGATCTAACAGACATATACAGAACCTTCCATCCAACAGCAGCAGACTACACATTCTTCTCAAGTGGACATGAAGAATCCTCCAGAATGGGTCATATGTTGGGTCACAAAACAAGCCTTAAGAAATTTAAGAAGTTTAAAATTATATCAAATTTATTTTCCTAGCATAATGGTCTGAAATTAGAAATCAATATCAGGAAGATAATTGGAAAATTCACAAATATGTGAAAATTCAGAAACCCTCTTTAACAATCATGGGTCAAAGAAGAAATTATAAAGAAAATAAAAAATACCTTAAAGCAAAAAAAAGTGAAAACACAACATACCAAAAACTTATGGAATGCAGAAAGACAGTTATAAGATGGAAGTTTATAGCAATAAATGCCTATATTAAAAAAAATCTCAAATAAACAATCTCATTTTACACTTCAATGAACTAGAAGAAGAAGAATAAACTAGACCTATCCATGAACGTGAGATGTTTTTCTATTTGTTGCGTCTATGATTTTTCCACAAAAATTCAAAGCTCACAGATACTATAAAGAAATTATACAATTCAGACTACAAAGCAACTAGGTAACAATGACAGGAACCAAACCTCACGTATCAGTATTAACACTGAAAATAAAAGGACTAAATGCTCCACTTAAAAGTATAGAATTGCAAATTAAATAAAAATCAATAAGATTCGACCCTTTGCTGCCTACGAGAAACACATCAGAGAGGTAAAGACAATCACAGACTCAAGGTAGAGGGATGAAGAAAGATATACCATGCAAATGGAAACAAAAACAACCAGGAGTAGCTATGATTTTATCAACACCAACAATAAAAAAGACCAAAAAAGGCATTATATAATAATAAAGGTTTCAATTCAACAAGAAGATATAACTATCCTGAGTATATATGCACCCAATGCCATACCATCCAGATTCATAAAACAAATAATACAAGAACTAAGAACAGAGACAGAAAGGAATACAATAATAGTGGGGACTGCAATATCCCACTGAAGGAGTAGAAATATCAATGATGCAGAAAATCAAAAAAGAAATTCTGGACATAAATGGACTCTAGATCATATGGACCTAATAGACATTTACAATACATTTTACCCAACAAATGCAGAATACAATTTTTCTCATCTGCACATGGAATATACTTCAAAGTAGACCATATGCTTGGCCATAAAGCAAATATCAATAAATTCCAAAAAAATTGAAATTATATGAAGTATCTTCTCAGACCACAGTGGAATAAAATTAGAAATTAATACAAACAATGTTCAGCCACACAAGTACATAGACGGAAAACAACTTCTCCTTAATGACTTTTAGGTAAACAACAAAAATAGACAGCAAAAAATTTCTGAAATGAATGCGAATAGAAACACACCATACCAAAACCTATGGAATACAGCAAACTCAGTCCTAAAAGGAAAAGTTTATAGTGTTAAATGCCTACATCAAGAAGATAGAAAGATTTTAAATTAACAATCAAATTTCCCACCTCAAAGAACTAGAAAAAAAAAAGACTAAACCAAACCTAAAGCTAGTAGTAGAAAAAAAAATCAGTGCAGAACTAAATGATTTTTAGACCAAAAAAGTAAAAAGATTCACAGGATAAAAAATCAAAAAGAAAGTCTTTGAAAAGATAATATTGATAGACTGACAGCTAGATTAACCAAAAACAATATATTTAAATAAGCACAATCAGAAGAGGTAAAGTTTACATCAAAATTGATACCACAGAAATACACGAGATCATTAGGGACTACTGTGAATATCTCTGTGCACAGAAACTAGAAAACCAAAGGAAATACATAAATTCCTGGAAACATACGACATGTCAAAATTGAACTAGAAAAAAAGTTGAAATCCTGAACAGACCAACAATTAATAGTGAAATTGAATCAGCATTAAAAAAATATGACCAACCAAAAAAAAGCTCAGTACCAGATGGACTCACAGCTGAATTTTGCCAGATGTACAAAGAAGAGATGGCACCAATATTACAGAAACTATCCCAAAAAATCAAGGAGGAAGGAATCCTTCCTAACTAATTCTATGAAACCAGTATCAACATGATACCAGAACTTGGCAAGGGCATTATAAAAAAAGGAAACTATATGCCAATATTCGTGATGAACATAGATGCAAAGACCCTTAACAAAATGATAGAAAACTAATCCAATAGCACTTTAAAAATATAATACACTATGATAAAGTGGAATTTATTCCAGAGATGTTATGATAGTTCTGCATACACAAGTCAATAAATGTGATTTGCCACATAAACAGAATTAAATGCAAAACCATATAATTACCTCAACTGATGCAGGAAAAGCATTATATAAAATCCAGCATCCCTTCCTGATAAAAAATATCAACAAACTAGGCATCAAAAGAATAAGCCTCAAAATAATAAAACCAATATATGACAAACCCACAGCCAACATTATACTGAGTAGGGAAAAGCTGAAAGCATTTTCCCTAAGAACTGGAACAAGGTAAGAATGCCCACTCTCACCACTCCTATTAAACACTGCACTAAAATTCCTATATAGATCAAGCAAGAGAAAGAAATAAAAGGCATTCAAATTTGAAAAGAGAAAGCCAAATTATCTCTGTTCACTGACGGCATAATTGTATACCAAGAAAGCCCCAAAGAATCCTCCAAAAGGCTCTTAGATTTAATAAGTGACTTCAGTAAAGTTTCAGCATACAAAATTAACATACATAAATCAATAGCATTTCTAAATACCAATAACATTCAAACTAAGAACTAAATCAAGAACTCAATTCAATTTACACAGACACAAAAATAAATAAGTAAAATACGACAGAATGCATTTAACAGAGGAGGTGAAAGATCTCTACAAGGAAAAGGATAAAACACTGATGAAAGTGTGCCCTTGTAAGAAGAGACAGGAAAGAGTTTGCTTCCTTTCTCTGTGCTCTCTGCCATGTGAAGATACAGTGAGAAGACTGCTATCTGCAAATGAGGATGCAAGCAGGCCCTCACCAGACGATAGAAGTGCCAGTAGCTTGATCTTGGACTTCCCAGGCTCCAGAACTATGAAAAATAAATTTGTGTTTAAGCTACAAAAAAAAGAAGAAAGAAAAGAAATCACAGACGCAACAAATAGAAAAACATCTCACGTTCATGGATAGGTCATTTAAGTGACCACATTGCCCAAAGCAATCTACAGATTTAATGTAATCCTTATCAAATTACCATCTTTTCTTACACAATTAATAAAAATTATCCAAAAACTTTGGAACCAGAAAATAGCCCAAATAGCCAAAACAATCCTAGAAAGAACAAATCTAAAACTGTAACATTTCCTGACTTCAAACTACACTATAAGGTTATTGTAACCAAAACAGTGTGGTACTGATATAAAAGTAGACAAATATATCAATGGAATAGAATAGAGAACCCAGACATAAAGCCACATAACTACAGTCAATTGATCTTCAACAAAGTTGACAAAAATACACAATGGGGAAAGGACACCCTACTCAATCAATGGTGCTGGAAAAAATGCATAGCCATGTGCAGAGAAATAAACTGGACTCTTATCTCTCACTACATACAAATATTGAATCAATATACATTAAAGATGAAACTATAAAAATCCTAGAAGCAAACCTAGGAAAAACTCTTCTAGGCATTGGCCTAAGCAAAGAATTTATGACTAATATTTCACAAGCAAATGCAACAAAAATGAAAATAGACCAATGAGACTTAATTAAACAAGAGAGCTTCTTAGCACAATGAAGTAAATAATCAACATAGTAAAGAGGCAAATACAGAATGGGAGAAAATATCTGCAAACTATGCATCTGCCAAATGACGAATACCCAGAATCTATAAGGAACTCAAATAAATCAACAAGAAAAAAAATAACTCTATAAAAAAGTGGGCAAAGGACATGAACAAAATTCTTCAAAAGAAGCTATACAAGCAGCTAACAAACATGAATAATGTTCAACATCACTAATTATCAGAGAAATGTAAATTAAAACTTCAATGACGTACCACCTCACACCAGAGAGAATGGCTATTATTGAAAAGTCAGTAAACAACAGATGTTGGTCGGGATGCAGAGAAGAGGGAATGCTTGTACATATTGGTGGGAATTTCAATTAGTACAAACTCTATGGAAAACAGTATGGAGATTTGTCAAACTACTAAAAATAGAAATATCCTTCAACTTAGTAGTCCCATAACTGGGTATTTACCCAAAGGAAAAGAAATTATTATATCACGAATACTCATGCACTTGTATGTTTATTACAGCACTATTCACAAGAGCAAAGTCACAGAATCAATCTAAGTGTCCATCAATGGTTGATTGGGTCAGGAAAAGATATATATATACACACTACGGAATATGATGCAGCCACAAGAAGTGAAATCATTTTTTTTTTTTTGCAGTGACATGGACGTAGCTGGAGGCCATCCTAAGTGAAATAACTCAGAAACAGAAAATCAAATACTGCATGTTCTCACTTGTAAGTGGAAGCTAAACAATGGGTACATGGACATAAAGAGGGTAATAGTAGACACTGGGGACTCCAAAAGGAGGTAAGGTGGGAGAAGGTGAGGGTTGAAAAATTCCCTACTGGGTAGAATGTTCACTAGTCAGGTGATGGGTTCACTAAAAGCCTAGACATTACCACTGCAAAATATATCCAAGTAACAAAACTGCACATGTACCTCCTGAATCTATAAATAAAAAAGAAAGAAGGCAAAACCCCCCATATTATCACCTAAATAGGTTAAGAAACAGCATTTGACAAAATTTAACATCCTCTTCTGATTGAAACTCTAAATAAATTAGGTATAGATGTAATGTTCCTCAACGTGATAAAGACCATATATGACAAGCCCATAGCTAACATCATTCTCAGAGGTGAAAATTTGAAAACTCTTTCCATAAGATCAGGAACAAGACAAAGTTTCTCACTCATAGAACTTCTATTCAAAATTAAGTTTTGAAGGTCCTAGCTGGAGCAATTAGGTAAGAAAAATAAACAAAAGTCATCTAAGTTGAAAAAGAAAAAGTGGCCAAGCACAGTGTCTCACATCTGTGAGTCCCAGCACTTTGGGAGGCTGAGGTAGATGGATTGCTTGAGCCCAGGAGTTCAAGATCAGCCTAAGCAGCATGGTGAAACCTTGTCTCTACAAAAAATACAACTAGCCAGGCATGATGGCACACCTGTAGACCCAGCTGCTTGGGAGATTGAGTTGAGAGAATTGCTTGAGCCTGGGAGATTTAGTGAGACTGCAGTGAGTTGTGGTCATGCCACTGCACTCCAGCCGGGGTGACAAATCAAGACGCTGTCTGAGCCCCCCCAAAAAAAAAGAAAAAAAAAAGGAAAGGAAGGAAGGGAGGGAGGGAGGGAGGGAAATCTTTTCTGTTTGCAGATGTCATGATCTTATATATAGAAAACACTAAAAAACTCTTAGAACTGATAAATTCAGTAAAGTTGAAGGACACAAAATCAATATACAAAAATTTGTGTGTTTCTATGTCCTAACAAAACTACCTGAAAAAAAATTTAGAAAATACTCCCATTTATAGTAGCATCAAGAATAAAATATTTAGAAATAAATATAACCAAGGAAATCATAGACTGAAAATGTAAAACACTGATAAAAAGAAATTGAAGAAAATGTAAGTAAATGAAAAGATGTATCATGTCCATGGATCAGAATAAGTAATATTGTTAAAATTTCTGTACTACACAAAGTTACGTACAGATTCAAAGTGATCCCTATCAAAATTCCAATGGAATTAGAAAAGAAAAAATATCTTACAGAATTTTATCTAGACTGTTTTGATGAAGATTTTCACTAATTTCATTGCACCATAATTACTGTGAATATGTCTTATCTTAAACATTCAAAGTAACAGAGACATTGACTTGAATCCTGATGTTACCACTTTAGTTTATGTTAAGCACTTTATACACAGAAAAATAAGACAGAGTGCTTGCCTTCAGTTTTGTATGGTGCTCCATTTCAAAAAGGATAAAGCCTACGTTGGAAATATCCATAGGACATCAAATAAGCTCAGAGGCAGCTAACCCAGTCTGAGTATAAGGATTTTATAGAGGAGATAACTCTAGTAGATTTCAGAAAGGTGAAGAAGGATGCACATGGAGGGTATCTTTGTGAAGGAAAACAATATTAGCAAACATAGTGAGATAGGAAATATCCTTACAGAGTGGTATAGAGGAAGCTTACAATGTGAGGCACGAGTAAAAGAAGATAAAGGTGGAGAGGTGTGAAGGATCCAGATGCTAGAGCACCCAGTGCACTAAATACTAGACCAGGTATCTTGGACTTTTCATCCCAAAGACTGTGTGATTTTGTCAATGCAGTGTGACCTCAGTTTGTACAAATGTAAAGTGGAGATAGTACTTATTTCAGATGCTGTTTAAGAAAGTAAGTAACATGATACATGCAAAGATCTTAACAGATGCTTGTCAGAGAGTAGGCATCCAAAAATGTTAGTTATCTCCCCTTTGCTTTATTCACATCACCTTTAAGAAGTCCAAGTCCATGGGCCTACTCTTTAAGATAGTCCTAGATATTGGTGTAAGTTTCAGGGGTATTGCCCCTAAGCCCATCACTGATGCTCTGACATGTTCTCCAATCTTCTGGGAATTCCTGGTGCTCAATTCTGGTGCTGAATCCTGGTGCTCAATTTTTAGGGGTATTGCCCCTAAGCCCTTCACTGATGCTCTGACATGTTCTCCAATCTTCTGGGAATTCCTGGTGCTCAATTCTGCTCTGGGGCTCGTTCTGCCATGGACACTGATTGCATTCCTATGACTTGGGATAAGCAATTTCCCTGCAAGTGCTTTTAGATCTGTAAGATAGGCTAGCTATTCTTTAAGAGAGTAGATAATTTACTCTTCCATGGGCCATATTACTGTTTCAGTTTTAAAGTTTTTTCTATTGAAAAACTTGGAGCTTTTACAATTTAAATATCTGGGCTACAATTCATATAAGTGATACCATACTGCTGTATCCACTCCAGAACTGGGTTTGCATATTTGAAAATTTTCCTAACTTAGTATTTTCCTAAGTTTCCTAGGCTCTACCTCTCACCAGAAAACACACAAAGCAGAGGACCCTAGTGTACCCTCGTCATTAAAGGAGACTTGAAACAAGATTGAGAGCCTGTTTTCAGCACCATGGCCTTTTTTTTACCATTTGTGTCAAAGAGTTTAAGAATGTTTGTTAAAATGGAATTTGTTATGGTCTCTTTCTTAATACTAGAATCCTTTAGATGGGTATGCCAAATATATTGACTGGTCTGTATGTACTACCCATGTGCTTCACACATATAGTACATGTTATGTAAATATTAATAAGCAAGAAAAATAATGAGAGAATGAAAAGAAATAAGGAAGAAAAAAAAGGCAGACAGGCCAGGCTGGTGCATGCTAAGGCATTCAATAAATGTTTTAAATGAATATGAATGATAAAACACATACAAAGGTCACTCCTTAAAATGTAATTTGTCTTGAGATTGAAATATTGAAAAAAAATTTCTTCAACATAGCAGAAGTTACTCAATTTCAACTCACTTGGTTGAGATGAGTAATTTTTTAAAAAATTAAGGAAGAGTTGGACACTATGGCTCTATATACCATAACTTTGGGAGTCTGAGGCAGGAGGATTGCTTGATGCCAGTAGTTCAAGACCAGCATGGGCAACATAGTGAGATCCCATCTCTACAAAAAACAAATTTAAAAATTAGCATGGCATGGTGGCACATGCTTGTAGTACTAGCTCCCTGGGAGGCTGAGGCGGGAGGATCACTTGAGCCCAGGAGTTCAAGGTTGCAGTGAGCTATGATCATGCTGCTACACTCTAGCCTGGGCAACAGAACAAGACCTTGTCTCTACAAACAAAAAAACAAAATAAAGGAAATAAAAGAGGATAATGAAGTCAAAAAAAGTACATGAGGAAGTTGAAACAAAAGTTGTATCTTAAAGAACAGTTAGGCAGTGATTTTTCAATCACTGTATATATTACAGAGATAAACGGTGGAGGTGAGAGAGGAAAAATTAGAATCTTTTCATGAGCAAAAATGCACAGACAGCATATTTGAGGATCCCAAGTTACCTGCCTCACATTCCATCTTTAACAGTGAACTCACTAATCTTGATAGGTATACTCCATTCCACTGATCTCCACAGCCATGAATTCAAAGTCTGAAAATTAGATAGCTGCTTCTTCCCTGCAACAAACCTGCTCACAGTCATAAATTACTTTCACCCAGGGCAATGACATAGTAACTGTTCCATGGCTCACCTAAGATTGATAATATGCCTCAGAGAACTAGAGATAAAGACTTTAGACAAATGATTTATAGATATGGATTCATGTGCATTATTTCCAGCATTGCAATAATACATTATTCTGTTGGTCTTTTGCTGTGAATTGTGGGAAGATATATTCAACCATAGATCAGACAGAGAAGAGCAACCGGCCTTTTGCTAAACATGAAATCACGATCCAATTTCTGCAATAAAAAGTGATTCAGTGATTCTCTTGCAACATTTTATATTTAGAAGGCTAAGTGAATGAAGATTATATATAAGCGAATTTACCAGTCACATAATACTCATATCCATAGGCTTACAGAAAATAATAGTAAGAACATCTTTTTTTCCCAAGTGCACATAATTTATTACATATTTTAAAAATATGATTTAACAGCCACAAAAATGCCCTAAGATTGAAAGGGCATGGGAGAATGAGGCTCCATTATGTTATAGGAATTTTTTTTTGTACATGAATAAGTTCTTTAGTGGTAATTTCTAAGATTTTGGTGTACTTATCACCCGAGCAGTGTGCACTGCACACAATTTGTAGGCTTTTACCTCTCATCCCCCCCCACCCTTTCCCTCAAGTCCCCAAATTTCATTGTGTCATTCTTATGCCTTTGCATCTTCATAGCTTAGCTCCCACTTGTGTGTGAGAACATACAATGCTTGGTTTTCCATTCTTGAGTTGCTTCCCTTAGAATAGTGCTCTCCCATTCCATCCAGATTGCTATGAATAGCATTATTTCATTCCTTTTTATGGCTGAGTAGTATTTCATGGGATATATATATTCCATGTGATATATATATACACACACATATATATACACACACATATATATACATAGACATATATATGTGTGCGTGTACATATGTGTGTGTATATATATATACACGCGCACACACACACACACACACAAATTTCTTTATCCACTCATTGATTGATGGGCATTTGGGCTGATTCCATATTTTTGCAATTGCAAATTGTGCTGCTATAAACATGCTTGTGCAAGTATCTTTTTCCTAGAATGACTTCTTTTCCTCTCATTAGATACCCAGGAGTGGAATTGCTAGATCAAATGGTAGATCTACTTTTAGTTCTTTAAGGAATCTCCCCACTGTTTTCCATAGTGGTTGTACAAGTTTACATCCCCATCAGCAGTGTAAAAGTGTTCCCTTTTCACCACATCCATGCCGACATCTATTATTTTTTAATTTTTTTATTATGGCCATTCTTGGAGGTGTAAAGTGGTACTGCATTGTGGTTTTGAGTTGCATTCCCCTGATTGTTGGTGATGTTGAGCATTTTTTTATATGTTTGCTGGCCATTTGTATATCTTTTTTTGAGAATTGTCTATTTATGTCCTAAGCCCACATTTTGATGGGATTGTTTGTTTTTTATCTTGCTGATTTGTTGGAGTTCCTTGTAGATTCTGAATATTAGTCATTTGACAGAAGTATAGATTGCAAAGATTTTCAACTATTCTGTGGGTTGTCTGTTTACTGTGCTGATTATTTCTTTGGCTGTGGAGAACCTTTTAAGTTTAATTAAGCTCCGTCTGTTTATCTTTGTTTTTGCTGCATTTGCTTTTGGGTTCTTGGTCATAAAGTCTTTGCCTAAGTCAGTGTGTAGAAGGTTATTTCCAATGTTATCTTCTAGAATTGTTACGCCATCAGGTCTTAGATTACAGTCCTTGATCCATCTTGTGTTGATTTTTGTATAAGGTAAGAGATGAGGATCCAGTTTCATTCTTCTACATGTGGCTTACCAATTATCCCAGGACCATTTGTTGAATAGTGTGTCCTTTCCCCACTTTATATTTTTCCTTGCTTTGTTGAAGATCAGTTGGCTGTAAGTATTTGGCTTTATTTCGGGGTTCTCTATTCTGTTCCATTGGTCTATGTGCCTATTTTTATACAAGTACTATCCTGTTTGTGTGGCCTATTATAAGGTCTATCTTACAAAATGTTCCATGTGCTGATGAACAGAATGTATGCTCTGCAGTTGTTGGGTAGAATGTTCTACAAATATCTGTTAAGTCCATTTGTTGTAGGGTATAGTTTAAGTCCATTGTTTCCCTGATGATTTTCTGTCTTGAGGACATGTCTAGTGTTGCCAGTAGAGTATTAAAGTTCCCCACTATTATTATGTTGGCATCTACCACATTTCTTAGGTCTAGTTGTATTTGTTTTATATATTTGGGAGCTTCAGTGTTAGGTGCATAAATATTTAGGATTGTGATATTTTCCTAATAGAATAGATCTGCTATCATTATATAATGTCCCTCTGTCTTTTTTTTTTTTTTTGAGACGGAGTCTCGCTCTGTCGCCCAGGCTGGAGTGCAGTGGTGCAATCTCAGCTCACTGCAAGCTCCGCCTCCCGGGTTCACGCCATTCTCCTGCCTCAGCCTCCCGAGTAGCTGGAACTACAGGCACCTGCCACTATGCCAGGCTAATTTTTTTGTATTTTTAGTAGAGACGGGGTTTCACCGTGTTAGCCAGGATGGTCTTGATCTCCTGACCTCGTGATCTGCCCGCCTCAGCCTCCCAAAGAATAGTTTTTTATATATAGTGGTTATCTAAGAGTTAAGGGATTATATATGTTCATATATAAATAAATTACCCAAGCCAAGAATGACAGTGAATTCACCAAATCCAAATATGCATTCCTCCCACATACCTCCGCCCCACAAAACTTGACAGCTTTGGCTGGTACAGTATGTGATTTTCAAATATTATTAGCCTGTCTTGGCCTTCCAAAGTGCTGGGATTGCAGGCGTGAGCCACCATGCCTGGCCCCCTCTATCTTTTTTAACTGCTATTTCTTAATATTTGTTTTGTCTGCTTTTGATGGCCATTTGCATGGAATATCTTTTTCCATCCCTTTACCTTAAGTTTATGTGAGTCTTTATTTGTCAGGTGAGTCTCTTGAAGACAGAAGATACTTGGTTGGGAAATTCTTATCCATTCTGTCATTCTGTATCTTTTAAGTGAAGCATATAAGTCATTTACCTTCAACCTTAATATTGAGATGTGAAGTACTATCCTATTCATCATTCTATTTGTTGCCTGAATACCTTGTTTATTTAATTTTTATTTTTGTTGTTGTTTTATAGGTACCATAAGATTTATGCTTTAAGGAGATTCTATTTCGGTGTATTTTGAGGATTTGTTTCAAGATTTAGAGCTCCTTTTAACTGTTCTTGTAGTGCTGGTTTGGTAGTGGTGGATTCTCTTAGTTTTTATTTGTCTGAAAAAGACTATCTTCCCTTCATTTATGAAGCTTAGTTTCCCCGGATACAAAATTCTTGGCTGATAATTGTTTTGTTTAAGGAGGCTAAAGATAGGACCCCAATCCCTTCTAGTTTGTAGGGTTTCTGCTGAGAAATCTGAAGTTAATCTGATAGGTTTTCCTTTATGGGTTACCTGATGCTTTTGCCTCAGAACTCCTAAGATTATTTCCTTTTTCTTGAGTTTAGATAACCCAATGACTATGTGCCTAGGCGATGATCTTTTTGCAATGAATTTCCCAAGTATTCTTTGAGCCTTTTGTATTTGGATGTCTAGACCTTTAGCAAGCCCTCGGAAGATTTCCTTGATTATTTCCTCAAATTTTTTTCCAAAATTTTAGATGTCTCCTCTTCCTCAGAAACACTAAATATTCTTAGGTTTGGTCATTTAATGTAATCCCAAACTTTTTGGAGGCCTTGTTCATTTTTTAAAAAATTTTTTTTTGTCTTTGTCAGACTGGGTTAATTCAAAAGCCTTGTCTTCAAGCTCTGAAGGTTCTTCTTCTGCTTGTTCAACTGTATTGCTGAAACGTTTCATGCAAATGCAATTCCCTAAGTGTGCCCTTCATTTCCAGAAGTAGTGATTGATTGTTTTTTATTTATGCTATCCATTTCACTGGAAAATTTTCCAATCATATCCTGTATTTTTTAAATTATTATTTCTTTAAGTTTGACATCACCTTTTTCTGGTGCCTTCTTGATTAGCTTAGTAGTTGACCTTATAAATTCTTTTTCTGGCAATTCAGAGATTTCATCATGGTTTGGATCCATTGCTGGTGAGCTTGTGTGATCTTTTGGGGGTGCTAACGAGCCTTGTTTTGTCATATTGCCAGATTTGTTTTTCTGTTTCCTTCTCATTTGGGTAGACTACGTCAGAGAGAATATCTGGTACTCAAGGGCTTCTGCTCAGAGACTTTTTTCCCATGAGGTGCTCCCTTGATGTGCTGTTCTTCCCCTTCCCCTAGGCATGGGGCTTTCTGGGAGCCAAACTGCAGTGAATGTTTTTCTTTTCTGGATCTAGCCACCCAGCAGAGCTACCAGGCTCCAGGCTGGTACTGAGGAGTGTCTGTAAAGAGTCCTGTGATGTGATCCATCTTCAGGTCTCTCAGCCGTGGATAGCAGCACCTGCTCTGGTGGAGAAAGCAGGGGATTGAAGTAGACCCTGTGAGGGTCCTTGGTTGAATTTTTGTTTAGTGCATTGGCTTATTGTTGGTTTGCCTCCAGCCAGGAGGTGGCACTTTCAAGAGCACACCAGCTGCATTATCACAGGGAGGATACAAGCTTGCCCTAGGGTAAAGCAGTGGGCAGGGCCATAGAGCTCCCAAAAGATTATGTCCTCTGTCTTCTGCCACCAGGGCCAGTATAGAAAGACCATTAGGTGGAGACAGGGTTAGGCATGTCTAAGCTTAAACTCTCCTTGGGGAGGGCCTGCTGCAGCAGCTGTGGAGGGATGAAGGTGTGGTTTGCAGGCCAATGAAGTTCTGTTCCCAGGGGTATATGGTTGCCTTTGCTGCATCACACAGGTTACCAGGGAAGTGGGGGAAAGGCAGAAGCCACAGGCTTCATCTAGCTCCCCTGCAGCCCTCCAGCCCAAAAGGCCCATCTCACTCCCACTGTCCCCTGCCATCAGCACAGAATTTATTTCCAGGCTGTTGATACGCAGGGTTGAGAACTTACCCCAGACTACAAGCATCCCAACTGAGAAAGCAAGTAGACTCACAGTTCCTCAGCTATCCCATGGAGCCTGCAATGGCAATCCACTGCCTTCAAAGGATCTGTGGATTCTGTTGGCTTTCTTGGTATGTTCCTGCAGTGGTTCTTGGAACAAAATTTTACGATGTGAGTCTTCGCATACTGCTCTGTCCATCCAAGTGCAAGTTGCAAGTTATTCCGGCTTCCTTTTTTTTATTTTTTTTATTTTATTATTATTATACTTTAAGTTTTAGGGTACATGTGCACAATGTGCAGGTTAGTTACATATGTATACATGTGCCATGCTGGTGTGCTGCACCCATTAACTCATCATTTAGCATTAGGTATATCTCCTAAAGCTCTCCCTCCCCCCTCCCCCCACCCTCTTTCTCCTGCTCCCACCACTTGAAGTGTCAGCTCCCATATTGCCTTCTGCCTTCTGCCATGATTGGAAGCTTCCCGAGGACTCCTCAAAAGCAGAAGCCACTATGCTTTCTACACAGCCTGCAAAATTGTGAGCCAATTAAATCTCTATCTTTGTAAATTACTCAGTCTCAGGTATTTCTTTATAGCAGTGTGATAATACACTAATACAATAATAAACTAAGAGACTAGGCTGGAACAATATACATGAACTTGAAGATCCAGTGTGAATTAGAAAGTCTGGAAAACCAAACATCCTTAACTCCACTTTCAGGAGACAAAGTAAGGGAAAGATATGCTATGCTATTTTAGAATTATCTATCTATTGTTTATAATTTTAACTTACTGCTTTCTGATATTTATTTACTTTTCAAACAAAGATGTGAAAACTTATGAACTCTAGAAGAAAATTGTTACTTCTGATGTCAGTATTGCTATATTTACTGTATTAAATATTTACTCTAGATATTAGTAAAAATAAATGTACAGATAATGTGATTGTATTTCAGACCAATATAGCTCTTTCCCACATTTTATTTAAGAGTAATATACATACATAAAGGTGCGTATTATGTAAAGAGCTCATAGCAATACAGTGAATCTGATCAGAAATCACCAAATGGTCCAAAGTATTCTTCATTGAATATTTGTTAATTATTTAAAATATCAAAACATCGAATCTTTTATATCATCTGAGTACATGTTATGTAAGGCTGAAAAAGCTACTGAATAGTTTATTTCATAATCTATCTCCATTAAATTTATTATTCTTCAAAGTTGCTGCAACAAAGCCAGTGAAATCTCCCATTGTTATTGAATTAGAAAAATATCACAGAACCTGATCTTCAATTGTATTATTTATTTATTTATGCATATTGTGTGGGTCAGGTGTCCAGGCAGGATTTAGGTTTCGCTGGGCCCTGCAAGGCTGTAATCAACGTGGCCAGAATGAGCTGGGTTCTCATCAGGGGTAGGCTGGAAAAGGATCTCCTTCCAATTTCATGAAGTTGTTGGCAGCATGTAGTTTCTTACAAGCTGCCAGACTGAGAGCCTCAGTTTTTTGCTGGCTGTTGGCAAAAGCCTGTCCATAGCTCCTTGCCATATGGCCCTGTTCATGTGACATCTTATAGCACGGTTGTTTCTTCTAAGTCAGAAAATAAATGTCTCTTAGAGAAATGGGCATTACAATTTTATGTAAAATAATTATACACATTCTGTCAACTTTGTCATATTTTATTGGGTAGAAGCAAGTCATAGCATTTGTAATTCAGAGAAATTAAAAACCTAACCTAAATGAATGTACCCACAATCAAATCTTCCAAATATGCCTACTAACATAGTTGGGAGAGACTAAGTTTTGCTGTGGTAACTAACAGCATCTAACATATCAGTGGCTTAAAATAAAGGTGTTTATTTTTCAGTTACACCAAATATCCATCATAGGTCAATTAGGGATTTAATTGGAGTTAAAGCTGTTTGGCAGCCACAAAATTCAGAAAATAGCTTCCAGTTTTCGAAAATATGAATACAAAAAATAGTATTTAAATAATATAAATTATTTTTGAACAATTTTATTAAAAATATATCTCACAGCAACAATAGACACAGAGACTACTAGAGCAGGGAGGATGGAAGGGTGACATGGGCTGAAAAGCTACCTATCGGGTACTATGCTCACTACCTGGGTGACAGGATCATTTGTGCATCAAACCTCAGTGGCGTGTAATTTTTTCATGTGACAAATTTTCACATGTACCCTCTGAATCTAAAATAAAAGCTGAAATAACCCCATCATGTTGCACACCCTAAAAAATATGAATAAATCTCATAAATATTAAACTTCATTATCATATTTTTCAAATGAGTCAATTTACAAATGATTATTCACTTTTGAATAATGTGAATCAAACACATTATAAAATTAGCATTTTGTTAATCAAAATTAAGTCATTCAGGAAAATTTCCTGAAGATCTGCCGGGTGCGGTGGCTCACCCCTGTAATCCTAGCACTTTAGGAGGCCGAGGCAGGTGGATTGCCTGAGCTCAGGAGCTCCAGACCAGCCTGGGCAACATGGTGAAACCTCATCTCTACTAAAAAATACAAAAAATTAGCCGGGCGTGGTAGCATGTGCCTGTAATCCCAGCTACTCGGGAGGCTGAGACAGGAAAATTGCTTGAACCTGGGAGGCGGAGGTTGCAGTGAGCCGAGGTCACGCTCCAGCCTGGACAACAGAGTGAGACTCCGTCTCAAAAAAAAAAAAAAATTCCTGAAGATCTTTAAAAAGAATAGACATGGTAAAGGAATAAGAAATTCTTAAGAAGATTTATGATTATTATTTTATTCCTGCTTGTATACAGTGGAGTGTGCTAGCAGTTAGACATACCAGATTTCTTTCAACATAAAAAATGTGATGCCATAGCTTCAAAAAATAATGCAATTAGAATGAGCTTCTAGAACAAATACTGCTTTCCTTACACAAAAGATGGTGAAAGTTGCTGTTCAACATGAAAGAATTATGTTGTCAAATAGTCATTTGTTTGAATAACTACAACTTCATTTTGTTAAGTGATTGCTTCTCTTTGGGCATCTTACCAATACATCTTCCAAGCACTGGATAAAATTATATAATACATAATTATAAATCTTGACAGAATGCCTGCCTTATTTAAATCTGTTCAGGCAATCACTGAAAATGGAACTTAATACATCTTATCTGATCAGATTAATTATAGTTAAAATGTAAACAAAAATGATGCTAGCATTTTTAAACAAGGAATGCCAAAGTAATAATGATTGTTACAGAAATTACATATATAAAATTTAATGTTTCTGACAATATTTAAATTCTGTATTTATCTTTTAAAGGCCTGCTTTAAAATAGTATATGGTCTATGCTTGGTTACCTGGTGGCAGTGTTGTTGCTTTATAAATTATCATAGTATAATTTTTGTGTTGGCCAAAGTAATTAAGGTTCACAATTTAGTCCTTGCAACACCATGAGATGATTGAGGCTTAAAGACTAGGAAGTTTTACACAAAATGCGTATGCTAGCACTTTTTAAAAAAATGTTGGCGTTACTAACATAAGGATACAACCATAGATCTGAGACTAAAATGGGAGGCTGATAACTGGGGAGAAATTAGAGATCATAGGAAGGAGGCTGATCTGGCACAGAGGATGATGACAAGTAGCCACAGTAGTAGCATCAATAATGGGGAAATTACAAAGATAATGAAGTGTCCATGACAGTATAGAATGATGGTTTTCAAAGTATGGTCTCCAGAACAAAGACATCAGTATAACCTGGAAACAGGTCTTAGGCCCCACCTCAGACCTACTGAAACAGAAACTCTGGTGATTCTGATGCACTCTAAAGTTTAAGGCCCACTGGTATAGAGTCATGGAAACTGAGAGACGAAAAGAAGAAATTGTTCACATGTTGCATGCTAGCAAGGACTTGAGTAAAATGAGAAGACGAGAGTATCTGTTAGAGTTGAGCATGGAAGTCACTGGAGGCTGTAATACAAGAGACAGAAATGCATGCATACTAGTTTTCATAATATATTTATTAGGGAAATATAGAGACAATAGAGTCAGTGGGATGCACATACTGTGAGATTTATGCTCAGTTATCTGGAGAAAACATGGAAAGGAATACTGAGGGTGCTATATGTGTTTATAGGACAGCTGGGAAATGTCAGGGAACTCTAGTTAACCTTGTAATAATGGAAGCTCCTTGGCCAGGGATGTGGCCTTTGTAAGACAATTACTTAGTCAAGCGGGGTCACATACTAATGCCTCTGGTATGAGATGGAGAGAGACCGTGTGTTCTTTTGATGAGCTTACCCAGTGCTGTTCAGCCAGCTCTGCCAACCCGCATAAAAAGGGAAGAGAAAGGGCAACCAGGACTATGCATGGAGGCCACCCAAAAGACAAAACGCGTGTCTCTATTCTTTGGTCTTGAAAGCAGCATGTCATAGACAGAAGTTTGGCTACATCAGAGGGGAGTAAAAATCATGTGTAACTCAAAAAGACATGTGGCTAAGAATTTTCTTTTTAAAAAAATATGGGTGATACTAGACCACATTGGTGTCCTGAAGAGAATGATTCAAAGAGAGAATACTGGTGATGCAAAACTGAAAGGATGAGTGGAGATGGGATCCGGAGTATATGTGAAGGGAATTGTCACAAAGGTTTAACTAGGAAGAAAGACAAAGAAGGGTTTGACTGCTGTTAGTTTTGTTGAGGGCATTCCTGTCTGCTAACTTGATGATCTCATGGTTTGGACCATCTCCTTCTAAGGAAAAATGGACTGATAATTGAAGTAGTGTTAATAGTACTTTCTGGACCATGGCTTGGCTATATAAGTCACCAGGTTTTTTGTCCATGGAGAGATAAGAAGCAGAATTGGGTTTCAGGGTGGAATCAGAATTAAATAAGGCAACACCAGCTACCACATCCTTAGGAACTTTCGCCAGGATTTAGCACGTTCACAGCACCTCCCTCCCTGCTGTATGCATCACTATGCAGAGGCCACCCTCCCTCCCTGCTGTATGCATCACTATGCAGAGGCCACCCTCCCTCCCTGCTGTATGCATCACTATGCAGAGGCCACCCATACTCTGACCAGGGCCAGTGGTTCATTCACTGACCCATGCACTTGAAGGCTGCTAGAGCAAAGTAATCACTATTTCTTGACTCTTAAACTAGTAATCCGCAATATGAAGAAAGGGTCTTAATCACTATTAGATCATTATCACCTTTATACAGGGCCTGGCTCACTTGTTCAGGTCAAGACTCAAGAAGGAAAGCATTATTCCTTTCCTATTCTTTGTAGATGTAGAGGGAAACAGAGCAAAGATACCAAGAAGGAATAATGCTTTCCTTCTTGACATCTTTCGTCTGTTTCCCTCTACATCTACAAAGAAAGTGAACAGAAGAGAAGTGACAAACCGCAATAATAAGAAAATGTGAAATGTCTTATGGAAGACTCATTTTTCAGGGTGTTTTGGAATTATACTATGCACTAGGAGCTTATGTGGTGACAGAGTTAGAAATATCTAACAAGGATAGAGAACATAAAAGCGTAAAATAATGTGCTATGATTTCAGCTCTATTATCACTTTAGTGGAAGCAGGCCAAAAAATGTTGAGTATGTATATCTGATCTTAGAGGATAACATCCATTTACTTTTCCCATTAAGTTGAAGCCCTCCATAGGATGATATTAAGGCAAATGCATTTTAAGTGCTGTTTTGCAGTACTTCATGTATGCCGTGACCTGTTTTTATAGTGATTTATGAGATGTGATTAGTGAAAATAAGCCGCAACATAGTTTGCCTGACAGAACCATCTTACCAACAATTATAAATCATGTGTAACCACTTGGAACATATATTGTATTCTGAGTAAAATACAACCATGCAGGACATTACCCTCTCTTGTTATGTAATATATAGAAAACCAACAGCACCTCAAGCATGAGACAAAGTCTGAGTCCTCTATTATTTTACATTTCAACACTCTAAAAGCAGAAACAAATTGAAACATACAGTTTTTTAAATATTGCAGTCAGGCTCTCTGTAAAAGTTTAATGACCTCAGCAGTTACAGTGAAGATGAATGACCTATTATAGTTCAAAATAGACTTTTTGCTCAAATAGTTAAATTTTCCACAATGTCTGCTAAGGATAGTTAAGAACATTTTTCTCATTTGACTTTGCTAATCATAGAACCATGCTGACTGGCCTATCAGAAATTCATGCTGCCTATTTTCAAGTGAGTTCTCAAAGCTACTTGACTATCTTATTATTCATTTCTAGAGGATAGATTAGTCTGTTCCCTATAACTTAAGTTCCAAGTCATCTCTTATCTTCTCCAATTCTCTTGCCTAACTTTCCTAAACACTCTAGATTTTTCAGGCAGCCCTGCCTTCTTGTTTAAGGAAGACATCAGTATTGAGACTATTAAGCTGAAACTCCCACTTCACTTAGTTTTTAAAATCCATTTATTAGGTATTCTTTGCTTATGGGGAAGGGAAGTGGTAATTGGTATCTCCAATGAATTCCTATGGCACTTTGCTTCACTGATACACTTATATGTTTATTATGTTGCAATTATTTGTTAACACAGTTATATCCCCTTTTATATTAAAGACTTATAGCATACAGAGGCCAAATCTTATACAAATGATTATCTTTCACAGAGCCAAGCCTTTTACAGAATTCTCAATTAATATTTGCTAAATGAATATAGTTAGGAATAAATGACAAAACTCTGACCTCCATCATCTTGGTCTTTGTTTCAAACTAAAAACAATGTAAAGATATTCTATAGACTGTATAATTTATTATGAAATTCACAGGTCAATAAAGGAAAGAGCAAAGACTACCTTGTGTAATAGATCTCAGAGAAGGAAAGTTTAATGTAAATTGATAAACATTAATATCAGTTAACTGAAATTTTAAAAATTACCTTTGTGCAGCTATAGTTAAATTCCACAAGCCATTACGTGCTAAAGTATGCATTTGG